>NC_000005.10:20307820-20610851 GCF_000001405.40 Homo sapiens
GCAGAGTCTCAGCTGACACAGGGTCTAATATTATTAGTCTTAGTTTGTTTTACAATGGTCACTTTTAGTCCTTCATTAACCTTAAACATTTATATTTTCACATATATGAACATTAATGCAAACAATTTAATTTAGAAACAGGAACATTTGTTTTTATTGTTGTTAGCTAAATTGTGTTTTTAAGATTAAAAACTGCACATTAGAATGAAAATATTTTTCCCCAAAGCAGCATATTATTTGCCTCTTTGAATACTACTGCTTTTTTTTTTTTTTTTTTTTTTTTTACTGGTTTTCAACCCATATTTGATAGCAAACTCTTTACAGTTTAAATTTGTTAAATTGCAACGGGTGGAAAGTCAATATGAAAATTCTTGTTCTACTTCTAAAACATTTTTGTTAAACTGATAAGAATAGATACTAACACTTGATCGTAGCCAAAAGGCCGAGGGTGGTGGCTCACGACTGTAATCCCAGCACTTTGGGAGGCCGAGGTGGGTAGATTGCCTGAGCTCAGGAGTTCAAGACCAGCCTGGGCGACACGGTGAAACCCCATCTCTACTAAAATACAAAAAATTAGCCGGGAGTGGCGGCAGGTGCCTGTACTCCCAGCTACTTGGGAGGCTGAGGTAGGAGAATCGCTTGAACCCGGGAGGGGGAGGTTGCAGTGAGTGGAGATCGTGCCACTGGACTCTAGCCTGGCCAACAGGGCGAGACTCAGTCAAAAAAAAAAAAAAATTCTGTGTGAAAACAAAAACAGAGAGGTGAAGTAGTTGCATTGATTTAATAGGGTTGAGAAATGGTGAGAATAGATAAATGATGATAAAAGAACCTACTAAGTTATTAAGGTAAACAAGCATTAGAAATCAAGCAAGGAAGTTGCCAAAACATTACATGTTTATCATCTTTCTTCTAAATCATTAAGTTCCAAGAATTTGGTAGGCAATGACCTAACTCATTTCATTTTTAAATGGCTGTATCTATGCCACATTGAAAACCAAGGTCAGATATACCTAGATATAGACAATTATGTGGCATTTTCTCTATCATCTGGCATTTTGTTGTATGTAAAACTCAAAGAGTCAGTGATTACAGATACCCCTTTAATCGTATAAGGTTTTGATTTTCGTACATTAGAGCACTAAAATTGGGGTATTTATTTATGTTATTTACACTGGATAGAGGATTGGCTCTAATCATAAATGTTAAACCAAATAGTGTAGAATACTGGGAATTATAATAAGAAAACTAAACACACATGTACACACATCGACATGCGTATGTGAGGTAGCTGCTCTGGGAAAAATTTCTTATGCTTAACATCATACTGACAGATCACACTGCTACTGTTCTATCTCATACAAGTTATAGAGAAAATTGTCTTGTTTCACTCTTGAGGGAGGAAGAAACAGAGAAGCATGTGGGATTTTGCTTTGGCAAATATATTTCCTCCCTTTTTCTTTTCATTTATGCCTCTTCACCTAATGCAAGCCTAGTTCAGAATATTAATTGTCTAAATAGGCTAGAAACATCTATGCCCTCGTCCCCGTGGCACACTGTCTTAAAAATAACATGTCCAAAGAATCAGAAAATTTAATTGGTCCTCTTGGTACTAACAACAATAACAAAAGAGAATATAGATTAAAATAATTTTAAGAAAAAAAACACATAAATTCAAAACCCACATGTGACATGATAATTTAATTGTAAGAATGATCCTTGGAAATACATTTTTTCCTATCAGATGATAACTGAAGACAGTTACTGCTGCCTAACTTGTTCAAAAAACAAACACAAAGAAATGTAGGCTAGTTAACATATCACTACATAATGGACATGTGACAGATTTTAGCGGAGCATAAATATCTCCAGCCATTTTTTGGAAGCAATTATAGTCAACTCATATTAAGATTTCTTCATTTACTTTGAGGACATCATAGCTGGGTAGCAAATGATTTTAAAATATGTAGTCAGTGTTTGTTTTACTACTGTTATTAATTTCACATGCATCTGCATATATAGCCATTGTCAAATTGACAGAGTTCTGTCTCTATACTTTTTGTATCTTTACTTTCATTTTCAGAAAAAAATAAAAATGTTTCTTTTGTTTCACTGAATTCTAGTATTTCTATCTAAGTTGCTATCCCTTTATTAAACACATAAAAAAATCTCACTAATAGTTTTTTTCACTGTGTGTCCCCTGATATGGCACAGTGAAAGGAATATGGGTTCTGAAGCCAAAAAAACCTAGTTGTGAATTGTGATGCTGTTAGTTAATATTCTGCAAATTGAGGAAGGTGTCTGTTTCAATAAATTCAATAACTGAATGTTTAATGGAATACATTAAAATAGTGGGTGTTCTACGAGGTTTAACTCATTTTTCTCCTTTATTTTCCAGTAATGATGTTTAAATGACTTATTTCTAAAAACAAACCAGGTCAGAAAACTTCAATCTTATCTTAACACAGCTTTAATTTAATAATGTAAAATATATCTGTGTTGTTTTATTTTTAAACTCCACAAGCATATAGACTGTACTTGTCTCCATGCCCCATTTACCATTATCACTAGTTTGTAATCCACATTTTATCTTTGCTTTAATTGGGGGAAATATACCTAGAAACACACATTAAAATATAAAATAGTGATTAAGAACAGACCAGAATTCTGCAGCCAGAATGTCTGGTTCAAATTCTGTCTCTGCAATTTGTTGGTCATGTGACCTCAGGGTTTTTTACTCGCTCATTATGTCTCATCTGTAATAAAGAGTCTAAAAGTGAGATGAGTTCATATTTATATGTCTTAAAGTGGGGTCTGACCGGTGTAAGTGTTGATTGCATGTTAGATATTATTATAAGCCAATTCCATTAACATTTTCTCCCTCATTCAACTTGTTTTAGTATTTGACATGCTGTGCCACTTACTTCTAGAAACACTTCTTTGTAAGATACATTGAATGCATTGTCCACATTGTTCTTTCTTCTTTTCTGACTACTG
The DNA here is from genome assembly GCF_000001405.40 of Homo sapiens. Taxonomy (NCBI): domain Eukaryota; kingdom Metazoa; phylum Chordata; class Mammalia; order Primates; family Hominidae; genus Homo; species Homo sapiens. The sequence goes on from NC_000005.10 coordinate 20,310,815, forward strand.
GATTGCTCTTCCTCATTGCAACACCAACTGCAATCTGTCATTGCTGTTTTTCTGGTCTCTCTGAATTGTCATGCCCTCAGTAAATCCCCATTCTGCAACTTTATCTATAAATTCTATCCAGTAACGACCAAATATATATCCCAGCCACTTTATGAGTCTTCAATCCCTATATTAATAACAACATTCAAAAGATCATCCTTGAATAGTTTAGAAAAGTTATTAAATTCACCAGACATTGAATTCAATATTGTATACACCCCTGACCCTTAAAAAACAAAACAAAACAAAAACAAACAAAAAAAAGCCTTTCTAACTGAAAAGTCAGGAAACAACAGATGCTGGAGAGGATGTGGAGAAATAGGAACGCTTTTACACTTTTGGTGGGAGGGTAAATTAGTTCAACCATTGTGGAAGACAGTGTGGCGATTTCTCCAGCGTCTAGAACTAGAAATAGCATTTGACCCAGCAATCCCATTACTGGGTATATACCCAAAGGATTATAAATCATTCTACTATAAAGACACATGAGCATGTATGTTTATTGTGGCACTATTCACAATAGCAAAGATTTGGAACCAACCCAAACGTCCATCAATGATAGACTAGATAAAGAAAATGTGGCACATATACACATGGAATACTATGCAGCCATAAAAAAGGATAAGTTCATGTCCTTTGCAGGGACATGGATGAAGGTGGAAACCGTCCTTCTCAGCAAACTATCGCTAGAACAGAAAACGAAAAACCACATGTTCTCGCTCATAAGTGAGAGCTGAACAATGAGAACACAGGGACACAGGAAGGGGAACATCACACACTGGGCCTGTCAGAGGATGGGGGACTACGAGAGGGATAGCATTAGGAGAAATTCCTAATGTAGATGATGAGTTGATGGGTGCAGCAAACCATCATGACACGTGTATACCTATGTAACAAAACTGCACTTTCTGTGCATGTACCCCAGAACTTAAAGTATAATAATATAAAAAATTATTGTATGATACTCCATTATTTTCACATGGTATCAAACACTATTTTTAACATTTTGAAAAAACAAAAAAGCCTTTCACCAGTCTCACATTTTTTTGAAGGAGTCTTACTCCATCTCATTGTAGAAGCTGAGGAAATACTTCTATTTCCCTATTTGCTGAACACATGGCAGGATTACATCCACCCACACTCCCTTGCATATGGGTTTCTTTTGCATGGTGGGTACAATTAGCCATATTCAATGAGTTTTGAGTGGATGCACCATGTTATATCTAATTGTCAGTATTCTTTTTCCCTCTGTCACAGCAACTGTCAACTCACAAGATAATGGCTGCTTCATTAGCTTAGCTAATAACAAAATAGGAAACAAAGTCCTCAGCTAACACAGTGAATGTATGATGAGCAGGATACAAACATTTATTGTAATCGGCCATGAAAACTGTAAGGTTGTTTCTGCAGTATAACCTAACTTACCCTGACCCTACCTTGACTTTCTTTCATTCCTTTCTCATTGTTAACTTCTGTAATTAATTAAATGAGCAAGATAATACATTATGGCTTCCTTTTAAATTAAAATTTTTAATGTTAAAATTAAAAGCAGATAAAAAATAGAAGACAAAAAGTCACCATAAGGGGACTATGTCTGTTCATTTTTACCACTTATTAGGTTCTCGGCATTTGGATGAAGAAATGATGATTTGCTCAGCTGTTCATTCCTACAGACGCCATGCAGCACCTGCTGATTTATAACTCCCAAACCTACTGTGCCTAATGCTGTCCCACTCATATACCACATTTTAGCCCTTCCTTGAAAACTGCCCAGGTCTTTCTACAGTTTGCCATGTCAAAGCCAAAGTCTTCTGTGTGACTACTAATCTTTTAATAATTTGATCAAAATTCATATCCTTATACTCCCCAACTTACAATATTTATTAGTCTTAAAGATAGTTTAGAAGACCCTTAGAAAATCTATTACTATTTTTCAAATTTCCTCTTTTTATTACCCAAATCTGAAGGCTATTCACCATAGTTTTTCCTGTTTCTAAATTTAAGCCATTTTCCTGTCATTTGTATTCTCTTCTTTTTAATCAATTCTTTCTTATTTATTTTTTATTTCTTTAAATCCCCCCAATTATATGAATAATTGTAATCTGCAGTGCTAGAACAATATTTAAATAGCAGGTGCTTAAAACAATGGTTGAGAAAATGAATTAATCCTATTTTTTCAGGAGGTTATAGTTACACATGCAATGGATACGCTCTTGGTAAATAACAAGGATAAATAATTTTGTGTTGATAAAACAATTCCCTGCTTAACTTCAATGAAATGAAAAAAGTTTACAATTTAAGTCATGGTTATTAGTTATGCAGTCAATAGATTTTTCAGGTATCAGAGTTGTTAATTGGGTATTTTAAAATGTTTCCTATTATATTTGTTGCTTCACTGAACAAAAACCTTTTATTCTTAAATGAGATGGTTCTCATTCTGTCATTTCTCTTTCTACTGACTTCCCCTTCTTCTATAACACTAGTGCCAGAACTGGGATAGAGACTGATTTTTTTGTCATTTGATTTGGTTAGTTTCAAGTAAATTTGATCTTCATTTCTTTTCTGAAATTAAAACATCTTTATTGTTTATGTTTTTTTCTCAACCACATATCTGATGTAAAACTGTATTAAAAATACACTCAATAAAGTACCTCCACTGACTTTAACATAAAATTATTGAAGATTAGATTTGTGCTGCAATTGTTTATTATGTAAACAGAGCATGCTTAACAATCAGGTTTTCAGGAAAATAGTGTCAAACAGCCCCCGAAAGAGATTATGAGAGAAGTTTGTAGCAATATGGCTGTTATCTGAGTGCCTCCTTTTAGAGATGAAATGAGGGATAGTGCACAGTTAGAACATGGCTTGATATTCTATTTCTCTGTGTGTGTGGGTGTATATATCTGAAAAAAACTAGATATATGAATTTGTAGTTTACAGTTTTACACACATACATCTATTATGCACACAATCATACACACATATGCATACACCTACATGTAATTATCTTTCAAATTTCCTTGGGTAATCTTATGTACTCAAAGAAGGCGACCAACATGTACATTGCTGCCAAAATACGAGTTACATATTTTGACAGGCACTCTGATGTATCCCTACTTACTTACTTTTTTTGTGTGTTTAAGATAATGAATCTTAACTTACTTGGGATAATATTTAACAATGTGATAGAATATGCAAATCCTCTTAAAAATTTACATACAATTTATGTACAATTTCTAGGATTCTTGGATACTTTGTAGCAAAACCATAGGTGTCATATATAGAACCTTTATTAATTATTGCCTAAAATTATACTTAATCATTATATTTTGTTTTAATATTGTTTGACTCCATTAACTTGAAATTCAAGAATTTGAGTTTCTGTGTTAGCTTTGCTACCAGGAAGGTGTATGGCCTTAGGCTCACTAAAGTCTGAGGTTCTTCAACTAAAGAAAATAATAACCAAGATATTCTACATAAACTCCAGTACAAAGTGCCCACTATAGTTATAAATTATCTATCTTCTTTAACATTTCCTTTCACCATATACATTTGAGCCATCCACTCATTTCTCTTCTTTCTCCTGCATGTACCTTAAGAGAGGAATTGCTGATTTAAAAAATTTCAATTCAGTCACATCAGCTTAGATGAAAATGAATGAAAGAACTAACTACTTTGGGGTATCTGTGGGTATGCATCTAGGTTATTGATAAAGGATCTGTGGTATTTTGCCTACTAAGAACTACTAGCATGGACCCCATTAGTTTTTGAGCACAGCGCTCATTTGCTCAGAGCTTAAGCTTATTTGATAGATGGGAATATTAAGAAATATGTGCTACCACTTTTTTAAAAGCCTAAGTATACACATCATAAATTCTTTTCTATATTGACGTTTTTATTAACACATACCCTCTCTGAATGTATCAAGTTGAATTCTACAAACTAATACATAAATACACAAAACAGTCAATAATCATCTAAAGATTTCTAGATGAATGTATACAAAAATGATGAGAAATTTATTAAGAATAAGTATTTCACAATGTCATTCTTCATAAATAATGTTTATTCCCTTCACAATCAAATGTGAAGTATAGAACAATTATTTACCTAAAATAGTAGCCACTGTGTTAATGTCAGCAGTGTTTACTAATTTGACAGTAGATCAAGAATAGAGTTTTATAAACAGTTGCAAAAAATATCACTGCGCTTATATGCATAATTATTTTTATCAATAATATGTTTAGGAACAAACAAAAAAAGTAACAAGATTCACTTGCATGTCTCCTCCCATCTCTGTTAAAGACACTACCATCTACCCAATTTCTCAAGCAAAGAATCTAGGAGTAGCTCATAATTTGTTTCTTTCTGTCACTCTCCTGGTTTCTGCTGGCTTTATTTCCAAACTCTATCATAAATCCATACAGTGCTACTCTTCATTGCTTCTAGCTCAGTGTTCTATCATCATTTGCAATAGCCTCCTAATTGTCTCTCTGATCCAGCCTTGTTCTACCTAAAATCCATTCTCCAGGCCTTTGCCAATGGTCTTCTAGAAGAAAAAAAGTGACATTATTGTATTCTCTTGCTTTGTGCTTAGTATTCTAATTGATATCATGGAGTCCTGAAACTCTATGCTAAATCCTATAGTGTAAAAGCTCAACTTTTAACAAGGGCCTACTGAGCTCTCTATGATCTGCCTTCTGCATCCTTTTTCGACTTCACCTCTTACCAATCTCCCTCCAACTCACTATACTGCACTTGGCAACTTGCTTCTCCAAAATATGCTTAAGGTCATTCCCACATTGTGGATTTTGCACTTGCAATTAGTTCACTGTGCTTCTAACACTCATCCTCTAGATCTGTATTTGATTGACATCTTTTCATAATTTAAGTCTCACAAAGGCTACTTTGATAACCAGTAACTCTAGATCATAGCTCCATCTTATGTGGCTGTATGGGCATGTACTTATCACTTATGATTAAACATTATCTTATTTTTGGTTTGTCTACTGTTTGTCTCTCTGACTCCGACAAGAATGTAATTTCCTCAAGTGCAGATTTTGTTTTTCATGACTTCATTCCTAGAACTAAGAATAGTGCCTGTCACATATTAGGGTCTCAATGAATACTTGCCTAATGACTAAACTCTAGACAAGCATGACACGATCAAAACAACAATTAAAATAGAAGACAGCATTAATCCTGACTCTTCTAACTAGCAGTGTGAGCTTTGGCAAGACATACAAACTCTAAGGATTAATTTTTGTTTTCAATAAGATGAGAAGAAGCTTTCAAGATTTAATACACTTCCAGTATATAATGATAACTTTTTATTCATTTTGAAAATTGTTAAATCCATGAGTTTAAATATTGTATGATTGTGATGTGACTGGGAATTTATAAATTTGTGTAAATGACATTATCGATGTGGAAAGTGACTCTAAAAACCAGAAAAATGATGTTGAGAAACAGCTGAAACTTGAAATTTAAGATCTCTTATTATCACATAATATTTAAGTGATTATAATATTGTGGTTGCAAGTAGATATTCTAATATTATTGTATTCAGATTACTCCAGTCCTGGCTAGTGATGATCTTCTTAAAAATATAAATTCTACATTGCACAATACACATAATTATTTAAACTTAGTGAAAACACAGTTGTAATTGAGGCAGTGCTATTCGGAATAGAAAGCTGTCAAGTTTATTAAGTTTGAATTAATTGAAAATTATATGGCTTTGTAATGAGATAAGCCACTAATTAGAGCCTCGCATTTAACTTGGAAATGATATGCATTTTGACCTTGGAGAAGAAAGAAGACAACAGAAAGGAGATGGTAGAAGAGAGATATGATAGTAAAGACAGTTATAGAAGGGGAAAAAGGAGAGTAGTCTAAATAGTATTTTAGTTATTGTTTATTTATTAGCATTTACACATAATTTTTCTTTTTACAAAATACACATGATTATTTACCAGTGTTCTGCCTTGAAAAGACTATTAAGCAAGTTTTATGATGTACCATATGTTCATTACTGGATATTTTATGCACTCAATTGTATTTCCTATTCAAGATTTTGATGACCCATTTTATTTTGAGAATGGTAGAGTTTTCATAAAGATAAAAACATAAGGAATCAGAAGGGAGCCACAGATTTAATGAAAAGAGAATAAAACCAAGGCTTATACAGAAAAATTGATATTTTATTAATCATAAAAAATAAATTGTTAATCTACCATTTTTGTTCAAGATGTACTATTATAAATCAATTAAACTTTTTGCTTTTGCCTTTAGAATTTTATCTTTTTTTTGAGAAGCATATATTCCTACAATAAATGTCTAGGCACATCTTTAAATTTCAGCAAATGTCAGAGCAGAACAAATTCTAGGTAAAGCATAAGTCTTTGCTGACAGCTGTGTAAAGAAGCATTTATTTAAATGCAATTTCATATTCTTTGACTTGGAAGAAAAATTGAGTTCATGCCAAAATGAAGGCACCTGTTTTAAAAGTTTATATTAGAGGATAAATCTTTATTTGTTGTAGTTTCTCCATCTTAAAAAGACATGTTATTATTTCTTTGCTCTGGCTTTTGAAGAGAAACAATTCAATATTATATATTTGTAAGTTAAATATTACATGTTATACTTTCAGTAGTACACATATCTATATGGGGGCAAAATCATCTTTCATTGTTTTACATAAACAATTTCCAAAAGAATGTATTTAACTGAGATAGTCATGTGCTTTGAATAATAAGCCTAATATTAGTTGAAATTAGCTTTGACTAATGCTTACAAATTATGTTCAACATAAGCTTTTATGCATATATCAAAATTATAATCTTGGATGACATAACACATTTTAGTTACTATAAAATATGAGATGATTATGTTGATCATGTGACATGGTCTAAATTTTGCAGTTGATAAGCGTTATAGTTACTCACAAACGTAAACCTCCTCCCAGAGGGATGATTAGAATGGTTGCAAGTCCCTAGTGTTTCAGGAAATGTTCTGAGAACTTCTAGCCCCATGCAATGTTCTACTAAAAACTAAAACAAAATTACTTCGATGTTCAACTAATTTTGTAAACTGCTGCATAGTATATTCTCTACTTGGACTTTAAAATACAAAGTAGTTTATTAATGTCATTGAAGATACTGGAGTAATGAAAACTATATAGTTTTTGCTCCAGAACTTGTACAACTTTATTGAGCATGGAGGTGCTATTATGTTTTGTTTGAATTGTTGCATTTTGTAACATCTATTAGCACCTGGTGGAACACTATGGACCTCTGGGAAATGCTGATCTAACTTAAAGTGAGAAATGGAAAATTCAAGGTTATAGAAGAGAAATAAGTCACAGGATCTTTATTTTAGGTTTATTTTTATTGTTTATTATTTCTTTTTACTCTACCAAAGTGGGAGTTTATTTACAAACTCCCAAAAAAGTTACTGGCACTAGTGTGTAAAAAAGACTATTGTCCGAAGATGCCACTATGATTATAAAGCAGTAAAACCTCTCTAAAGTGCCCGGTGTAGTTTGGATCTGTGTCCCCAACAAAATCTCATGTAGAACTGTAGTCCTAGTTTTGGAGGTGGGGCCTTGTGGGAGGTGATGGGATCCTGGGGGTGGGGCTCTCATGAATGGTTTAGTACCATGCCCTGTTGGTACTGTATAGTGAGCAAGTTCTCAGGAGATCTGCTTGTTTAAATGTGTGTGGGGCCTCCTCCCTTGTTGTCTCTTCCTCCTGCTCCCATTATGTAAGAAGTGTCAGCTTCCCCTTCACCTTCTGCCATGACTGTGAGTTTCCTGAGGCCTCCCCAGAAGCCAAGCAGATGGTGACGATGGTGACATGTTTTATTTACAGCCTGCAGAGCCATGAGCCAATTAAATCTCTTTTCTTTTTTTAAAAAATTATACTTTAAGTTCTAGGGTACATATGCACAATGTGCAGGTTTGTTACATATGTATACAGGCAAATCTCTTTTCTTTATAAATTACCCCATCTCAGTTATTCCTTTATAGCAGTGTGAGAACAAACTAATTCAGCACCTTTCCAACATCAGATTTTCTGTCTATTTCCTACAAGGTTCCCTCTCCACCCATGGCATCCAGACCCTAGAAAAACTCTTATTGTGCCCTAGGCTGCTCTACTTGGAATAGGACCCCACGGTCTGGACCCCAGTCTACTTGTTCATCTCATGAAAACTGGGTCTTTTTTATCACTTCCTCACGATCCTGCTATCATTTTCTGACTTCTAACCACCATATTGACTTCATCTGTCATTAAGACACACAGTACTTTTTCTGTCATTTCTTTGCTAGAGATCCCCAATTATTTCCCTTTGGTCAGATGGAGTGCAGATATGCTAACCTGGCACTTGAAGCTCTCCCTGTTTTACCAACCTTCTACTATTTTATTTTAGGTGATCTGTGATTAAGTTAAAACCAAATTATGAGTTTTTTCCAAATATATTTGCTTGTTTTCTCCCCTCTATACCTTTTTGATTCAATTTCAAACCTATCACTGGACACTTCTCACACTTCAAAACTCAATATGAAGGCTGACTCTTCCATAAGCCTCCCTGTATTCGTTGCTTCTCTTATAAAACTCCTCTATTTTTGTATTTTATATTCATATTTGCTGTATTTTAAATACGTTTTCATATTTTCCTGTGAATAGATCAAAGTTAACACATTATTTGTTTCAGATAAATTGCATTTTTAGGGATTTAGCTTGCATAACCACAAAACATGTTAATCTTGATGAATTCACATGGCAGACAAGAGTGTCGAATTAAAATTTGAGGTACATGTAGCTACTCAGCCTCTTTCAGCTTTCATACCCAGATCTCATAATCCATATGACTTTCTCAAAAATGGTCTACGAAAATTGCACATCCAATTTTATAGCAGAGAAACTATAAAGTACTGGAAAAACACTATATATAGAAACAGTCAGAGAACTAATCATTTCTGGGGAGAGTCACTGTATGCAGCTCCGTCTCCCACTCCTGGTTTGGTACTCTAATCAAGTTATGTAATTCTACATTCCAATAATACACTTTAATTAACCTGATAAATACCTAACAAACTTAGTCTTTTGATATGTCTGCATGAATTTTATATTCTCTCTGATTCCAAAGACTCATTGCATTAGATATATCAGGATGCTAAGGACACAATGCCACTCTGCTACTGTGAATTGTGCCATATAAATATTGCTCCCTTTTGTGTTGCCATTGTAATTCCGTAGCATATTTTTGTATCTCTAGATAAAGATCTGAATGTGCTTGTTGGGATGGATTGTTGATGGGGCAAAATAGATTTAAGAATCTTTGAGATATTATATTTATATTTTAATAAAATAATATCAAGAGCTACAAAGACTTTAAAATTCTCTATTCTTCTTTTATATAAGGTACATTTACTTAGATAAACCTTGGTTTTCTCTAAGAATCAGACAAAGAGTAAGACCATTTCAGCATTGTCACACACAAAAAAAAGAACCACTGAGGTGGGTCAAAGAAAAGTGTCCCTGAGGAACTATGACAGGGATGAGCTGGGCAGTCAGAATCCTGAAGTGTGAAACCTGAAACTCTTTCCCTAACTCAACCTAATTTTTTGTTTGGAGCCATCATATTTCTTGGCAGAGGAAAATAGAATGTTGTTCTAAGAAATTCTAGTCACTCTCTTTCTAAAATAGCTTCAATGAGGTAAACAGTCAGTCAGCTTTACACATCATTATCTCACTCACTGCCCCCAGATTTCTCCCTGAGATTCCTCCATTTCTCCAGAGTCCTCCTTCTGAGAAGTTTGCTGTATAGCAAAGGGGCCAACACACCTTAGTCCTGTCTCCAAGGTGAGACACAGAGACCCAGCTCCGTAGCTGCTGCAAAGATTTCTCATCTTTGATCCCAGGATACTGGCTCTTTCCTGTGGCCCATGAGGGGACTGATGGAGAACAACCACGGCCACCCTTCAGCCAACTGCACTGCAGGCAACTCTAGTGGCCAGAACCTGTACATAGTATGTACAGGAGTCTTTTTGTCCCCTGGGAAACCTATTGTAGCTGTTTGGGGTGGTGCATGGATAGCCAGCTCAGGCTTACTTTTAACCAATGAAAACTCACTCCTTCCTGTATGCATTTTATGGAAGTCTCCACTTGTATCCTCTCTTTTCCATTATTCCCTCTCTTTCCTTGGCTTTCTCTTTTTCCGCTGGAAATACAAAACATACTTTACAGATTTCATAGCTCTGCAAACTCAGCAAGTGAGTGTTAATTCCTTATATATAGAATAACATCTTCATGTTAAAACAAGATTTTCTCTAGAGCCTTCTCCAACCAAGGAGAAGAAGAGGCAGAAATCCATGCCTGGTACCATCAGCTGCTTGCTAAAACACAGTTTCCTAAACTTCCATCTTCTTCAGACTCAAAATCTCCTTGATCCCTTGCCATGTTTTACTTCCTTTGCAACACTGGATGTAGTTAGAGTGTCAGACACCAGGGACCAGATAACATATGAGAATTAGTATCTATTGTTCTCAGCCATAAGCCTCCTTCCCCTACCCAATTCCTTCTAGCTTGGGACGAATGGAAGGAAAAGTCAAGCAGAAACTTAGGAAAAAAGAAATAGCCTCCTTCATGGAAATGTCATTTCACATTACTTTTTTTAAAAGCTTTATTCTTGTATAAAAAAAGTGCTATACTCTTTTCTATTTCATTTCTGTGATTATTAAATTTACTGTCTCAAGGTTGCTTCCACAAAACTATACCATTCCTTTCTTCCTTTTCCTTTATTCTCTCCTTTCTTTCTTTCCTTTTTCTTTCTTTTTAACATTTCCTTTCCCATAATTTCCTTCAGATATGTTATTGACATAATCATAGCTATTGTCCCCTGTACATCCAAAGAAAGCAAAGCAAAGAAAAAATTCATTGCACTCAAAATCATTACTAGAAACTTTTAAAGCCCCAAAGATAATTTACTTATTATCAAGCAAGACCAATGTCCAACCCTGTTCTCATCTTCCTAACATGAGCAGAGCAAATCCTTCAGTTTTTACAAATTTGCCCAAAGCCTACTTTTTCATATATTTATCTTTCAAGGCTTAATTGATATATTTAAAATTCATTTTACCCAAGCATAAAGATGCTTGGCTAAGAGAACATATCTGTGGTTACAGGCTTTAATTAGAAAAAAAAGCCTGCAGGAAAAGTCTCATGGCACAACAACATTATATGCAGGAACAGAGTGCATGGTTGGAAGATGGATTTCATCTTCCTACTGTAAACCTAAATATTCAGGTGTTAAGAAGAATCTGAGAATGTGATGTTGTATCTTGCATCACTGAATGGAAACCACTGATTTCAGTTGAGTCAATAAGAGCAGACTAAGTGCATTCCAAACACCAATTGTTCATAATGATATTAATTATTATTATAACTATTGCCATCCACAATAAAAGAGAATGATAACTAAAATTAAAGTTGCTCAAGATCCCAGAAAATAGACATAAATTGCTCACATGTCATTGTATATAATTTAATTAAAACAAGATATATGTTCTTGTCAAGCAGATATGAGGAGTGTGTCAGCCCTGCATCTTAGTAACTCTATGACATTGGAAAATGTCCTTTAGTATTGATGCTTCAGTTTTCTCTTCCTCAGTTTACATGTTAACAACATCATTGTGTCATGGTAAGAAATAAATGAGATTGTTTATATAAAGTACTAAAAAGTGCCTGGCACAAAAGTGCTCAATAGATGTCAACTATGTTAGACTAGTCTCTCTTGTAAAATTCAAGATGAGTTATTAACTAGAAGGTTCTAAACTGAAGCTGCAAGAAAAAAAATATAATTCTTCAAAGAAGACAATGAATGACAAAAAGCCGCTTGACAGAGCAATTCTAACTACTTTGGGTTTTCATAGTGACACTTTGAAATTATTGTCTTCATAAAGAAATGTGTTATGCTAAGTATCTAAAGAAAATAGAATAATCAAGAGAATTTGCAAGACTTTTGCCATTAACCAATTCCTTTTGTGAGACTGAATGTCAAAACATGAAAAGTAAACCAGTATTGTAATTAATATAAAAATCTAGATAGAATATCCTTTGGTGCAACAAAGAATATGGCATTAATGGAATAGGTTTTAAAAAAAAGCAGGTTAAAATGATATGACCTGGATATGGTCTGTATTTAATTTCAGTTGTGAACACATTCTTAAAGATAATTCACACGGTGAATGAAAAGAATCAAGCACTTGAAAACAAGCTAAGCAGGAAGAAAATTAACATATTTTAGGGCTAGCTGTAATCATCACAATGAAATGTCTTAAATCTTGTATTTGTTCATTAGAATACAACTTAGCAGTACAGCCTTAAGTACATTATACTAATATTAGATTGGTCCCTTGTCTCTAGGCCTAAAAATTACATGAAAGGGTACTCTTTGTGATGACTGTATCAAGATTTATTTTTTTCTTGAGTCCTAAACTTGGGTCCTTCATTTATAATTTATGTGACTGACATAGCATTTGCCTTTCAGAGATTATATTATACATTTTTAAAGCAAGTGACTTCATTCTGTTTTAAGAGAATGTACTTGGCATTAAACAGTGCATGAGCTACTTTTATCAGAAGTACTGTTTTGTTTGTTCTATGTGTTTGAAATTCAGTAGAGTACACAGATAGTAACATATGTTTTTCAACTCAGTTTAAATAGAAAATCATGCCTAACTGACCACATTATCACCCTGTGGCTTTCTGGTATACATCATATCCAGAGAGAAGTTCTTTTTCTCAAATTCCAGTAAAAATTGTGGCACTAAACTATCTTAGTTCTTTTGCATTTATGCATTTGAAGTGTGATGCATTTTGTTCTCTAAGTGCTATAGTAAGCAACTGCTGTTCTGAACATGTTTTGTTGTAATTATTTTTAAGCACCAGAGACATTATAGGAAATATATAACACAGATATAAGAATTATTTTTCTTTCAAATATCCAGAATTCTTGTGCTCGATGTCTTAATTCACCTGAAAGTTCATAACAGAATATTCTATGTAAATGTTTGTATAGCTGACCTTATGGAAAGCAGGTCACTTAGTGTCATTAGAGTAACATACTAATGACACAAAAGTGGCAGATTAATCTTCTTTCACACATCCTACTTTTGCCAGTGCCCAAAGTTCAACGGTTTTAAGATTACAATTTTAAAATCAACTAGTTGTTTTCCAAATATACTACATCGATTTAAAAGGGAAGACCCAACCCACCACCACTCAATGTGTAACACACTGGATCAGTTCAAATCAGTGTGCAGTTGTGGATTTTGTATTTTTAGAATACAGACTCTAATTATCTCTGAAAGCTGAGCAATTCATTTGTAGGGGGAAGGCCGGGCGCGGTGGGTGGCTCACGCCTATAATCCCAGCACTTTGGGAGGCTGAGGCAGGCGGATCACGAGGTCAGGAGATGGAGACCATCCTGGCTAACATGGTGAAACCCCGTCTCTATTAAAAAATACAAAAAAATTAGCCAGGCATGGTGGCGGGTGCCTGTAGTCCCAGCTACTCGGGAAGCTGAGGCAGGAGAATGGCAGGAACCCGGGAGGCGGAGCTTGCAGTGAGCTGAGATCAGGCCACTGCACTCCAGCCTGGGCAACAGAGCAAGACTCCGTCTCAAACAAAACAAAACAAAACATTTGTAGGGGGAAATATTGTGTCAGACTTCTAAAAAAATCCCTCAAATATTCATGGGAGTCTTTACTGAAAAAAACAAGGCATCATTTAGCATAATCTTTCAATTATTTGTTTCTATGGGTGAGGGGAGGGTAAAATGTAGTAAGAAGGTTCTATGTTGTTTACAGTCCAAAGACATACAAATTCTACCTGGTGAAGGAACAGTCTGACACCAAAAAACACAGTTTAGCTAACAAAATAAAACTATAACAGAAGGCAACTTAGTATCTATTTATACATTGATTTCAGCATTACTTTTCTATGTGTATGTGTGTATACACCTTTAAATTAGAATCAGTTGTAACATCTTATTAGTTCCCTTATTAATGAATATGTTAAAATTGCCACCTCCTATTTATATTTGTATGAGAATCATGATTTTCCATTTAAAACCTATATCCTTTAAAAATTACTTTCTCTGAGCCCAAGCTTGCTTTATCTATCATTTGGGAATGATAATAACACCTAACCCGTGGTATTTAAAGAACCGAATGCTTTTAAGGTTTGTAAAGTTTCTAGTTCCCCGTTGGCAATGATCAGACATTGAAAAATAGTTACTAATAGTTTTCTTCTCTCCGATGAATGCCTTTACTCTGTTTTATTAAACCAATCTTTAATAAGTTTCCTTTGTATGGCCATCCTCCATGAACTGAATCCCCCCAGAACTGAACCCTTCCATCCTCTTAGCTTCTGTTGCAATTTCTACCACATCACAATAACTTGCTTAGGTATCTGCCTTTCCTAGTATATTGTATCCCACTTGTGGACAGAGATAAGACAATGTCTCCTTTTTCAAAAACTTGTTCCATGGGCTATACACGTATCATGTCTTACATGTTAATTCAATGGAATGGCAAAATGACAGAAAATAAATAATCAGAGCGAAACAAACATTTCTCTACCTCCAACTTCATCCACTGTGACCCTATGACCGCACCCTTCCGCCACCCATCCCTCATTCTTAGGGATCTTTTCACTATCATGTTTGCCTTCTGTCTTTTATTTTCAGTCCATTAGATCACTACTTCAGCATTTATGTGCTTTTCTTTTCTGTCTTTAGAAAAAAAAAAGAAATAAAAACCACTTTCTGGGGAATCAACTCAATTTTCTAGCTGAGTATCATTTTATCACCTTCTTTCCCTTACAATCATCCTTTCCAATGGTTGTTCATATTTACTGTTCATTGCATTTTATATTCTCTGACATCTGGTTTCTGCTTATAACCATAGAGTTATCCCAAGGCCATCTATGACATCTACATTGGCCTATATTATAATAGGACTCTCAGCAGCATTCAGCATTGTGAAAAATGAGAAACACCCTTCCCTCTTGGCTCCTGGGTGTCATTTCACAAATTTCCCCCAACTTTATTGAGAGCCTCTTCTTAGTCTTCATTGCTTCCTCATACTTTTCCTCCCATGTTTAAATATGCTCAGGCACATTTCTGAGACCTCTTCACATTTTACTCTAGATACTCTTTCTGCAAGATCTCACTCTCAGTGATAGCTTTAATAACCATCTAAAATCTCATCCAAGTCATTAGTTCTCAACTTTATACATTAACATCACTTAGGATGTGCCAATACTGTACCTATAAGTTATCAGTATTACATGGGGTTTCTAGATCTTTATGAAGTATACCAATGACTCTAATGTGCAAACAAATCTGAGAATCCCTGGTATAGGTGATTATCTACACTAATGGCTTGTTACCATTTATATATTTTTAAAGTATCATTTATCATTTAAAAATTATATTATTCCCAATAGTCTTTACATATACTCTTGAATATTTTACCCAACTCTCTAACTACAAACTTAAATTCAGCTGCAAACAAGTGGGTAACAACAAGGGACCTATGATTAGAGGAAAAAAGTCTGACTGAATCAAATCATTTGGCAATGTAGATGGAATTTTTAAAATATTAAACATATTTACTTTTTTTTTTTTTTTTTTTGAGATGGAGTCTCGCTCTGTCGCCCAGGCTGGAGTGCAGTGGCGCAATCTCAGCTCACTGCAAGCTCCGCCTCCCGGGTTCACGCCATTCTCCTGCCTCAGCTTTCTGAGTAGCTGGCACTACAGGTGCCCGCCACCACACCCGGCTAATTTTTTGTATTTTTTTTAGTAAAGACAGGGTTTCACCATGTTAGCCAAGATGGTCTCGATCTCCTGACCTTGTGATCTGCCAGCCTTGGCCTCCCAAAGTGCTGGGATCACCGGCTTGAGCCACCGGGCCTGGCCACATATTTACATTATTTAAGTTTTGAAACTGAATGTAAATATATGTTACAGTTTTAAAAAATAATTGCACGATCTAGTTAACAACTACTTTCTGTAAATGACAGAGAGTGTCATAGACGGGTGAATGTACTGTGACCCTTGTTAAAACACACTGTGTTAAGTGTATTTACCACACGGTTACATGTACGATTGATATTCTATTTGCAGATATGTAGCTATAATTACTTTTTAAATTAAAATTCAGGGAGCTATAACTATGTATTATAAACTTATATTTTTGGTAAAGATAGATCATATTAAACCTGTGAAAGAAAATTGAATATTGCGACCCCAAACTCATTATGCCAAAGGGAAAGTTCAGCTTGGGAACTGAGTCATACAAAAACTGCTTTCTTTTAGTTCCTAAACACATAGCTGTAATTTCACAACTTGTATCATAGCCTCATTTCCTCTACTCTCTCTTGCTTACTTATCTTATGTAAAATGTAGATTTACGGAGCAAATGACAGTGCCTAATTGACTTTTTCGTCTGCTTCCTCTTTCACTTCTAAAAAGTAGATTTACTATGGCAAAACAGAGCCTCACGAGAATGTAACCATCTGCCTCATTGCCTACTATCTCTCCCTCTTTTTTCCCTCCTGCTTGCTCTTGCTCCTTTAAATACCGAAGTTCACAAAAGCCCGTTTGGAAAAAGCACAGGTCACAGATGCTCCTGTGGCTCCTCAGACACTCTTCCAGTTCTGAGAATATAGCAGTGACCAACACAAATAACAGTTCCTATCCATCCAAGTGAAAAGACTCTGAAAAATAATCAAACAAAGAAGTTGAAGTATGCATATTTTCAGATGCTGATAAAAAAAATAAAGCTAAGGTATCCCTGGGACTTAGAAAGTAATAGGACAGTGAAAGTCTTAGAAATGTCCTCATTGGGAATGTGACCTTAGAGAAAAGTTCTGGGAGGGCAAGGTGGGAGGATCACTAGAGGCCGGGAGTTCAAGACTGCCCTGGGCAACAGAGCAAGACCCTGTCTCTACAAAAATAATAACAATAATAACAATACAATAATATTAATAAAGTTGAGATAAAAGAAAAAGTCTGAAGGAAATAACAGTGACAACTATGTGAATATGTGGGGTTTTTATAGCTGGCAAAGGAAACAAATGCAAAAGTCCTGGGGAATAGAGACTTAGCATGTTAGAAAATAAGAAGTCCACCTTGCTACGGAGAAATAAGAGAAGAGTGATGAAGCATCAAGCAGGAGGCATAATGAGGGAGGAAGGAAGCCTTTAGGGGCTTTGTGGGACTTAGGTTTTGACTCTGTATGATGTGATGACACGTTATGGGAGGTTTGAATGAGGTTCATTCTGCCTAGCACAAGATCAGGAAACCAAAGAGAAGACTCAAAAAGCCCAGTAAGGAAGGTATCAACCGTATCCAGGTGAGAAGGGATGAAGGCATTGACCAAAGTAGCTGTTGCATCATTGAGAAAGACCAATTTTCACTGTTTTGCAGACAGAAATAACAGCATGTCCTGCTGGATCTAATCATGTTGAGAGTAAAAGAGAGGAGTCTGGAGTATCTGACAAGATGAAAGAATCGGGTTGTGCTTTATTGAGGTGTTGGAGAAGCCATTTGTGTGTGTGTGTGTGTGTGTGTGTGTGTGTGTGTGAGAGAGAGAGAGAGAGAGAGATTATATGTGTTGGGGAGAATTAGGAGAATTTCTTTTAATAAATTTAAAATATTATTAGATATAAAAGTCTCTAATGTGGACTATTCTTCCTTCACCCCATAAACAGCCTACTCCTCATCTTTGGCTAAATAAACCTCTACTCCATTGAGACCTGCCTCAATCACTTTTTGATTCCCATACCGGGTCAGGCATGGTGGCTCACACCTGTACTCCACCACTTTGGGAGGCCAAGGTGGGTGGATCCCTTGAGCCCAGGAGTTCAAGACCAGTCTGGGCCACATGGTGAAAACAAACAAAAATTAGTGTGGCACATAGTGCCTTGTGCCTGTAATCTCAGGTAATTGGGAAGATGAGGGGGTAGGATCACCTGAGCCTGGATATGTCCAGACTGCAATGTGATTGCACCATTGCACTTCAGCTCCCCTGGGTTACAGAGTAAGATCTCATCTCAGAAATAAAACCCCCCAAAAACCAATTTTGCGACTATTAAAAATAAACAATATTAGCTATTTACTTGAACCTCTAAATCAGGTTTATCCTTACAAGCATGAACTGTTTTAATATCCAACTCCCCAAAACAAAGGAGCTAATAGCTATAAACCATTCCTGAGGGCTTCAATGAGGAGTTGCAAATGAACTGGGCCTTAAATAATGCAGGTCAGCCAGAGAGACAGTAAGTGCAAAGAGTTATATGGGAGGAACAAAGAGAATGAACGAAGGCACGCAGATAACACATCACTATTGATCTATTTCTTTTGAAGTTTTATTGAATTTTAGGTAGTTCTAATATTTGCATTTTAAAACTTTCAATTTATGAAAGTTTCTGTTTGATCAAACTAGACATGGCCAAATATTAAAAGGAACAAGTGATAATAAATTAAATATTGTCTTAAATATTCCACAAAATAACCTATGGAAAAAAATGCTGATAAAGAGTCAGCCTTAAATGGGGCCGGGCATGGTTGCTCACGCCTGTAATCTCAGCATTTTGGGAGGCCGAGGCAGGCGGATCACCTGAGGTCAGGAGTTCGAGACCAGCCTGGCCAACATGGTGAAACCCCATCTCTACTAAAAACACACACACACAAAATTAGCCGGACGTGGTGGTGGGCATCTGTAATCCCAGCTACTTGGGAGGCTGAGGCAGGAGAATTTCTTGAACCCCGGAGGCGGAGGTTGCAGTGAGCCAAGTTTGCGCCACTGTACTCCAACCTGGGCAACAAGAGCGAAACTCCATCAAAAAAAAAAAAAAAAAAAAAAAAAAGAGTAAGCCTTAATTTTAGTCTGTGTACATACTATAATGTTATCAGAGAAGTAATTCATGATATTTCAGAAAGATACATGTATTTCAGATAACACATGCCATTGAAACCTAATCTAGAGTGGATTCTGGATACTTTAGTACAGTAATATTTTCTAAGATTAATTACATTTTTCCTAGAGAGAAGTCTTATTTAGGAAAAATAAAATTCAGATACAAATAATGAAAAATAGTTATGTGTTACCAACCCCCAAATCAAAAGAAATTTAAAATAAAGTAAAAAATATATGTTTTATCATAAGTCTGTATTTTTGTTGTACTATCGAAGAATTTACTTCTATAAAAGCAAAATTATCTTTTTTTAGTTGCTTATATGTATTATTAGACTTTTTTCCAATGGAAAATTTGAATCTATTGCTGAAATTGCTGTCTTAGGTAATTCAATTAAACGATTAAAGGTAAATTTTTTGAAGACAGTTGCTATATAATAGGATGATTGAACACTCTATTTGATACAGTAGGTAGCTAGTTAGACATGAGCAGGACAAGAGAGGGACCCCTGCCACCAGTAATATCAGGGGACCATCAGGTGATGGTCAGGAGGTTGTTAAACTGGCTCTCTAAAATAATAATTGGTCCCAGCTGGTGCCAGGGAAAGGCGGTCTTCCAATAGATAGAAACACCTAAAGTTGGTGATCAGCAGCTTCCCAATAAGATCTCTGGAGTTAGGCGAGTGGGCTCATGCATGCACAGTAACAGACAAAAATGGCAGAGTTTAACTGGTATATGACCTTCTAGCAACATTTGATTGGTAGGTAAAGAACACCTCAAGTGAGCATGCTTAGAACCTCCCTAAACACACTGCGCATGTGGCCCCTTCCAAGTACTGGCAGGCCACTGTGCATGCGGACAGCCCACACCAAGGGAAGAATCAGGCGAGAAGGGATGCAAGACCCCAGAAGCATGCCAACATATTAAACCCCAAGTCAAAGGTCAAGCCAGGCACTTGATCTCTCAAGTCACCAGCTTGGCCGTCTGCCAAGTGTATTTTACTTCTGTTCATTCCTGCTATAAAGCTTTTTAATAAACTTTCACTCGTGCTTGAAAACTTGCCTCAGTCTCTTCTGCCTTATGTCCCCCAAACAAATTCTTTCTTCTGAGGAGGCAAGAATTGAGCTTGCTGTAGACCCATATGTATTTGCTACTGGTAACACATTCAGAAGTGAAGTATTAGTTTCCTAAAGAGTTCTCCACAGTGCATTTCATGAGAAAGTATTATTAATTTGCATTTGAGCTAGAGATAAGAATTAAGAATGGGGATAGGGAAAATATTAGTTGTAGAAGATTAATGATAGATCTATGTTTTCTTTAACCTCTGTCTACCCTTTGGGAAATTCAGGACTAGTAGTATAAAGACCTGAATCTCTACAATTTGAATGTTTATCTTGTTTATTTGACCTTTTTGCATAACAATATGTAGTACCTATATGATAAATGACTCTTGTTATTTTCCCCTCCCTTCCTTCCTCCTACCCTTCATTCCTTTCTTCTTTCTTTTCTTTAGGTCCCTCCAAGACTTCGCTTCTCACCATGATTCTGACATTGATATGAAAACACACAAGATTTCACTTCTCACCATGATTCTGACACTGATATGATCACTGAATGACCGTTTTCAGCAATTCGGGCCTATAAAAGTGTGAAATAGATTTTTTTTGAAAGTCCTATTGTATATTCAAAATTCTGTAACACTAGTGGTTTTCTTCACCTTGTAGCTTATTATGATAAGCACTAATTTTGACTCTGACATTTCAACAGGAGCACTTAGTTATAGACAACCAGGAATGTTCAAGAATGACTCAGGAGTATTTTATTGACAAGGTAATCTTTGAGACCAGGGGGTCCTCCTCCCCCCAGCTGGAGGAATTACACCTGGGCCCAACTTCCTGAAGTCTCAAGGTGGAATATATCTGGTATTCTTTGTAACATATTTCAATATTCAGTAGCCAAGTTCAGGCTATTTCGTGCCCAAATATATATTGTTTTTCTCTTATTTATAAGAACAGTATTAAACTGTCCCTATAATATTAGAAAAGAGAAGAAGGGTCTCTTCACTGGAAGAGAATATTACAGAGTGTTCAGCCTTAAGTGTTTTCAGGTATGCTTCAAGTCAAGCATGCTTCTCTAAAGGTGATTTAGACAATGAGGTTCACAGGCAAGTAAGCCCTTCTGCCTACAAGTTGTGGCCTGTTTTGAAGATTGTTTTTGTTTAGCCAAGCCCTTTATGTGGCATACTTATCTGAGCTTACTTCTAAACACAATTAGTTGATGTCTATAAAAAAAATTTGAACTCGATCATTCCTGGAAACTTATTTAAAATGTAAATATATAACTGGAATTCTTATTCAAAAGTTATGTACTTCTTCATATTTGGTCCCAATAAGAGCAGGGTATTTGTTATGTTTTACTCTCAGAATTGACACAACTTATTTCCATCTTCCACTACCCTCAGTTTCTTTAACTATATCATCTACTTTGTCTTTTCACAATTCTTAAGTGAGATTATTGATTTTTCTTTTTACTTCTTGTCAACTCTTTGCTGGTAAGAATAGACATATAAAATCATTCTTGTAATAAAAGGTCATTCCTGGTGAACGCTTAAGTCTGGGCTTCTCTGTGACAATGGTCCTATTACTTAAGAAAAGTAAGCCACCAAACTTGGTGAAACAGTAAGACCTCACTGAATGCTATGGACAGGTTTTTGGACACTGTGACTTTAAGTGAAACAATGTATAATGAAACTCTATACCATAAGCTAATTGTTACAAAGAAGAGTTGAGTACCTAAAACATATTTCTAGTAACAAAAATGTCATTAAATTCCTAGATTAACAACAAAACAATTCTAATATTAAATATTGAAAGAAATTTGAACTATACCTACATTTCATAAAAACTTATAAAAACAAGATAATTATTTACCCAATTGTGCCAGTTCAGGGTTACGGGTGGCTGAAAAGTCTTCTGAAAACTTTGGGTGAAAGGAGGGGAAAGAGCCCTGGACTGGACACCATCCCATCACGGAGCACACTCACATACACACCCACACTCATGTAGACTGGGATATTTTAAACATGCTAGTTCACCTAATGTGCATAGCTTTGCGATACAGGAGAAAGCCATAGCTTCCAGAGAAAAGCCACACAGACATGGAGAGAACATGCAAACTCCACACTGATAAGGAACTTTTTTTTTCCTCATCAATGTTGAGGCAAAACAATATTGAACAAAACAATATTATTGGAGGACCTGCTGTACCTCTATATAATAGATATGAGAATTTATCTCAAGGGATACAACCAGAACAACATTGATAGGAAGTTTATTGGTGTGTGGGCACACACACAGGTATATGGGATCAAAATATTTTTCATGTGGCCGGGCATGGTGGCTCACACCTGTAATCCCAGCACTTTGGGAGGCCGAGGCTGGCAGATCAGGAGGTCAGGAGATTGAGACCATCTTGGCCAACATGGTGAAGCCTCGTCTCTACTAAAATACAAAAAATTAGCTGGGCATGGTGGCGCGTGCCTGTAATTCCAGCTACTTGGGAGGCTGAGGGAGGGGAATCGCTTGAACCCAAGAGGCGGAGGTTGCAGTGAGCTGAGGTCGAGCCACTGCACTCCAGCCTGGTGACAGAGCAAGACTCCATCTCAAAAAAAAAAAAACAATATATATACACACACACACACACACACACATATATGTATATATATATATTTATATATATCTTTCATGTTTATAAAGGTAATCTTTGCCTTGTTGATATTATGAACAATTTCATTCCTCAATTCAAATGAGAAAAGTGAGATCAAAAGACAAATGCTTAAATATTTTAAGAATTTAACCGGCATCGATTGTGCTATTTGCTACAGTGTTATGCAGCAATTTGTACACCTTGACTCCAAAATAGTTCATTTCCACCTGGAAGCATTATCTTTTCTAGCCCAGCAGCATCTTACTGGAGGCATCACTTTGTAAGGTAAAACTTATAGATGTAAATAATTCATAAGAAAAATTTAAAGATGAGTTTGAAGGGCTAAAAAGACATAAGTTATTCCTATCATAAGTAACTATTTAATTTATAAAATTGCAATTTTTGATGAGCAAAGATGTTAAATGAATTTAAAAGATAAACGTTTGGGGTCATGTTTTGGAATATCTTGAATGCCAAGAGAGGGAATGAGTAGAGGAAGAAGAAGGAAAATCTCTGAACATCTTTGATATGGATAATAAAATAGTCATTACTGTATTTTAAATGTATAAATCTGACTTGAATTCTTTTTTTTTTTTTTTTTTTTTGAGACGGAGTCTCGCTGTCGCCCAGGCTGGAGTGCAGTGGCGCAATCTCGGCTCACTGCAGGCTCCGCCCCCTGGGGTTCACGCCATTCTCCTTCCTCAGCCTCCCGAGTAGCTGGGACTACAGGCGCCCGCCACCTCGCCCGGCTAATTTTTTTTTTGTATTTTTAGTAGAGACGGGGTTTCACCGTGTTAGCCAGGATGGTCTCGATCTCCTGACCTCGTGATCCGCCCGCCTCGGCCTCCCAAAGTGCTGGGATTACAGGCGTGAGCCACCGCGCCCGGCCTGACTTGAATTCTTAATAGGCACTGGAAAGACTAATAATGAACAGCAGAGAGATGATTCAGACGATGTTTAAATAACTCAGGAAAAAACGATTGAAGACTAATGTCAATCAGAGAGAAGAGGGAACGACATGAGTCCCAGAGAGATGACAAATGTGGTATCTAAAAGAACTTCACAACTGTTTATGGGGTGAAAGAAGAATAGTCCACATTAAGATTTCTATAACTAATAATATTTTAAATTTATTAAAAGAAATTCTCCTAATTCTTCCCAACACATATATGAGTGCTATGATCTCTCTCTCTCTCTCTCTCTCATACACACACACACACACACACACACACACACACACACACAAATGGCTTCTCCACCTCAATAAAGCACAACCTGATTCTTTCATCTTGTCAGATACTCCAGACTCCTCTCTTTTTCTCTCAACATGCTTAGATCCAGCAGGACAATAACAATCTCTGTCTCCAAAACACAGTGAAAATTGGTCTTTCTCAATGATGCAACAGCCACTTTGGTCAATGCCTCCATTGCTTCTCAACTGGACACAGTTGATACCTTCCTTACTGGTCTTTTTGAGTCTTCTCTTTGGTTTCCTGATCTTGTGCTAGGCAGAATGAACCTCATTCAAACCTCCCATAACGTGTCATCACATCATACAGAGTCAAAACCTAAGTCCCACAAAGCCCCTACAAGGCTTCCTTCCTCCCTCATTATGCCTCCTGCTTGATGCTTCATCACTCTTCCCTTATTTCTCTGTAGCAAGGTGGACTTCTTCTTGTTTTTCTAACATGCTAAGTCTCTATTCCCCCAGGACTTTTGCATTTGTTTCTTTTACCAGTTATAAAAGCCCCACATATTCACACAGTTAATTTCCTTCAGTTATTCACTTCAGTTATTCACTGTTATTTCCTTCAGACTTTTTCTTTTATCTCAACTTTATTATTATTATTGTATTGTTGTTATTGTCATTATTTTTGTGGAGACAGGGTCTTGCTCTGTTGCCCAGGGTAGTCTTGAACTCCCAGCCTCAAGTGATCCTCCCACCTTGCCCTCCCAAAACTTTTCTTTAAGGTCACATTCCCAATGAGGACATTTCTGAGACTTTCACTATCCTATTACTCTATAAGTCCCAGGGACACCTTAGCTTTGTTTTTCTTATCAGCATCTGAAAATATGCATACTTCAACTTATTTATTTGATTATTTTCAGAGTCTTATCACTTAAATGGATAGGAACTTTTATCTGTGTCTTTCACTGCTGTATTTTCAGAACTGGAAGAGTGTCTGAAACATAGTAGAATCTCAGTAACATTTGTTCATCAGAGAAATGAGAGTTAAAGCATGCACCAGGCAACTGAAAAGTATGTCATAAAAATATTAAAGCATTATGAACAAAGACATTAACACTACTTTTCATTGGTGTGTTACTTTACATTATGAAAGAATATTCTTAAAAATGATTTCATTTACTTTTAACAAAACTTGGTCTTACAGAAAGAAAGCTAAGCAGAAGGGTTTGTGTAGAGGAAAAATTTTTTGTAATTAAAATAATGGTGAGTATAATGAATAAAATTATGTACTATTGAGAGAGGAGGCAATTATGAGCTGGTTGGGCAGATAGGGAGGGTTTCTTCTCGCCTAGAGGCCATCAAACTTTAGATGATGAGGCAGATGGAACCCCACTTGGACAAGTCCTTCTTCCAAGGCCCACTAGACTGCCCTCTGGTGGACCCGACTGCCTCACAAATGATGCCCCCTCTCAGCTCCAAGCAGCTAGTGTGGTCATCTCCCCTTTTCCCCCAACAGCAGTTAGGATCACCACTCCAGAGGGGGGAATGAGAGAGGACACAGTTAGGGGCTGGTTAGGCAGATAGAGAGGGAGAGTCTCAGGAGAAGGACAGAGAAAGGCAAGGTTCACAGGAATAACCACAGGACAGCACCCACAATGTGTCTGCAGCTAACAGGAAGAAATGGGGTTAAGAACTTCGCCTTATGGCTGGGCGCAGTGGTTCATGCCTGTAATCTCAGCACTTTGGGAGGCCAAGGCGGGCGGATCACGAGGCCAAGAGATCAAGACCATCCTGGCTAATGTGTTGAAACCCCGTCTATACTAAAAATACAAAAAAATTAGCCGGCCGTGGTGGCCAGCGCCTGTAGTTCCAGCTACTCTGGAGGCTGAGGCAGGAGAATGGCGTGAACCCGGGAGGCATAGCTTCTCATGAGCCGAGATCACACCACTGCACTCCAGCCTGGGCAACAGAGAGGGAGCCTCTGTCTCAAAAAAAAAAAAAAAAAAAAAAAAAAAAAAAGAACTTTTCCTTATGCCAGGATGTTGCTCAGAAGGGACTGTCCTAACTTAGGTGCAGCCACAATAAATCAACCTAAATGTCCTTAACTTGACCCAGCTCATTATAAAGTCATTAACATGACATTAGCATTGTGGTTTCAGATTCCCCATGGGTTTTGCTCAGGCACTCATGGATAATAACCAAGATGGACTCACTCTGGCCAACCCCAGACATGTGCAGATGCAACACCCCTAGGAGGGAAATTTACCCCTCCCATTTGGGCAAAGCCCATAGAAGACTTCCTGGCTTCTGCCACATAAAAGAGGCTGAACTCAGCCCCATTTCTGGAAACCTGATTTCAGACCCCCTCTCTTTGCCTAGAACTTTCCTTTTGCTTAATCAATTCTACGCTATTCACTCTGTGGTGTCTGTGTGGCACAGAGGTCTCTGCCATGACCTAGAGACATTTTCCCCCATTGTCTTGGTGATTAACATGTGGCTTGTTACTTATACAAATTTCTGCAGCAGCTTGAATTTCTCCTCAGAAAATGGGATTTTCTTTTCTATTCACATTGTCAGGCTGCAAATTTTCCAAACTTTTATGCTCTGCTTTCATTATAAAACTCAATGCCTTTAGCAGCACCCAAGTCGCCTTTAGCAGCATCCAAGTCACCTCTAGAATGCTTTGCTGCGTAGGGTATTTGTCTGTTGCCAGATACCCTAACTCATGGCTCTCAAGTTCAAAGTTCCACAAATCTCTAGGGCAGGGGCAAAATGACACCAGTCTCTTTGCTAAAACATAACAAGCATCACCTTTGCTCCTGTTCCCAACAAATTCCTCATCTCCATCTGAGACCACCTCAGACTGGACCTTATTGTTCATATCACTATCAGCATTTTTGTCAAAGCCATTCAACAAGTCTCTAGAAAGGTCCAAACATTTTCATATTTTCCTGTTTTCTTCTGAGCCCTCCAAACAATTCCAACCTCTGCCTGTTACCCAGTTCCAAAGCAGCTTTCACATTTTGGGTATCTTTTCAGCAATGCCCCACTCTACTGGTACCAATTTACTTTATTAGTCTGTTTTCACATTGCTGATAAAGACATACCCTAAACTGGGCAATTTACAAAAGAAAGAGATTTAATTGCACTTACAGTTCCACGTGGCTGGGGAAAACTCACAATCATGGTTGAAGGCAAAGAAGAGCAAGTCAAGTCTTACATGGATGGCAGTAGACAAAGAGAGAGTGCTTGTGCAGGGAAACTTCCCCTTATAATACTATCAGATCTTGTGAGACCCACCAACCACCAGGAGAACACGATGGGAAAGACTTGCCCCCATGATTCAGTTACCTACCACTGGGTCCCTCCAACAATAGGTGGGATTTCAAGATGAGATTTGGGTGGAGGCACAGCCAAACCATATCAATACTCTTCTTTCCATTTGGGCTGTTTCTTTCTTCATGTAAGAACTCAGCACTGTCCAATGAATTTAAGCAGCATCTCTATGAGACAAATTAATTTTCTTCTGTTAGGAGACACATTGTAGAGACAGCCTATCAAGCCCCAAACCTCTCTTTACAATGTCTGCCTGGAAAGAAAGTATTTGGAGGAAAAGTTACAGCCAAACATTTCAATTATTATCAAGCCACGTGATGGGATGGGATTTCTTTCCTTGGGGAGCTTCATCAACCCTCTGGCCAAAACCTTTAGTTTTCCAATTACACACACTCCTCCGGCCTCTCATCAGGGACCAAGCCTCTTGCCCCATTTGCAAATGGAAAAGTTTACTGTATGATAGGGAAAAAGAAGAAAGCATAGCTAGACAGATGTTTGCTTCTATGCTGTCTCTGCAGAAGGGAGGGAACCAGTATGAAGGTTACATCCTTTTGAGACATCTGGTATATTTCCAGTTGCAATGGAACTGAAACAACAAGGAGGAATATGTTTGGAGGTTAATCATTCCCTTTTTCTGTGATGTCTTGATTTTACCCAATCTCTGACCTGCAAAATGAGTGAAGAATTTAGTGAATGGCCTAGAGCACCCCTTCCATTGAGGTTTTTGGCCCACATTCAGCTATTCCAGTGTCTCTTCAGGGCCCCAAGGTGGAAGTCTAAAAAGGCAACTAGGCTAGGAAGGCAAAGACACCAACAGTGGAGAGCTAGGGCTTTGCCCAGGTACACTTAAAACAAGGTAAGTGTGACTTCCCCTGTTGACTAGCTACTCTGGATCCATAGGCAGTACTTATGACAGCCGACAGGAGCCAGGGGATACAGTGAGGGAAAAAGAAGACAGAGGATGCCTATTCTCTCTCTCTCCACCCAAGGACACTCTGAATGGGGGAAGCAGACTAAGAGATGCCTTTTCTCCCCTCTCTTTCTGGATAGGCTGCTTTTTCTCCTCTCTCTTTCTAGGTGGGTAACATCTTCAGCCTCCACTCCCCTCAAGTGCCTCCTGAAACACTGGGACTCCTTTGACCCTCAGACTCTAAAGAGAAAATTACTTATATTCTTTTGCACAAAGGCATGGCTGGCTTACCAGCTAGAGGACAGACAGGTCTTTCCTCCTGAGGGAAGTATTAATTTTAACACCATCCAGCAGCCGGACCTTTTCTGCAAACATGAGCGTAAATGGTCTGAGGTCCCATATGTATAAGCCTCCTTTGCTTTGTGGGATAACCCAGACCTCTTTCAATGCTATAGCATTGACTCAGCCCTACTAGCAGTTGTATTGTGAGAGGAGCTGCAAGGGACAGTTTTAGTGGACTGGGACAGGGAGGCGGGAATCCCTGGAAATGCCTATAGAGAGGCACTACCTTCTCTATAGGTTCCCCTGGTCCATCCTGCCCAACTTATCCAGGACTTCCTAGAACCCCGTCAAACTTACCCCATTCTAGGAACCCTCTTTTTAGGTGGCCCCTGGCCTTACTCATGCCCCTAGAAAAGATGCCTTGTGAATATGGTCCCATTAAGGTACAGGTCCTCTTTTCTATACAGGACTTAAAACAAATTAAGAGGGATCTTGGTACTCCGGATAATGCTGATATGTATATAGAAGCTTTCCAGAACTTAACCAAAGTATTTAAACTCTCTTGGAAAGATTTTATGCAACCCTTGAATCAAACCCTGACTGCTGCTGAAAAATAGGCAGCCCTGCAAGCAGCAGAGAAATTTGAAGACAAACTTTGTGTCTCATACAATGCCAGAAAAGGGGAAGAGTATTATCCAATTGAGAGGGTAGCAGTGCCCTTGGAGGACTCTAAATGGAACATTGATGAAAGCACCAGAGAATGGAGAAGGAATCTCTTTCTAATGTGTATATTAGAGGGCTCACAAAGAACCAGGGCCAAGCTTCTTCATTACTCCAAACTATCTATGATAGACCAGAAACCAGATGAAAATCCTTCAGCCTTTTTGGAAAGGCTGAGAAAAGCTTTAATAAAACACACCTCCCTGTTTCTCAATTCAAATGAAGGACAACAAATATGAAAGGACAAGTTTATTACCCAGTTAGACAAGTTGTCAGGAAGAAGCTACAGAAATAAGCCATAGGACCAGATAACACCTTATAAAACCTCCTGAAGGTGGCCACCTCGTCTTTTACAACAGGCACGAGGAGGAGGCTCAGGAGAAAGAGGAAGCACAAGAAAAAGGCAGAGGCTCTAGTGGCTACTCTGCAGGCCTATAAAACCCAGGAGTCCTGAGCTGCACCTGTTAATTGCTACAGGTGTGGCAAACCAAGACACTTTAAGAAGGATTGTCCAGGCAGCAAAAGGAAGTCTCCTTGACGCTGTCCAGCCTGTGTTGGGGACCACTGGAAGGCTCACTGTCCCTGGAGGTTTAGGTCACTGGGTCCAGAGCTAGTCTCACAAATGGTCCAGTAGGATGGATGGGTCATGGGCTCAACTCCACAGCTCCAATGGCTCAGACTGCTATTACCATCTAGGAGCCTCAGGTGATTCTGGAGGTTGAAGGGAGGAAGGTGAACTTCCTTCTGGACACTGGAGTGAGCCTTTCTGATCTCCCCTCCAATCTGGGCCTTCCTCCTCCTGTAGCATGACCGTGATGAACAACTCAGGAAAGACTTTAATCCGACGTTTTCCTCAACCCATAAGTTGGAGCTGGGTAGAACTCTTGTTTACTCAGGCCTTTTGAATCATGCCTGAAAGCCCAACTGCTTTGCTAGGTAGGGATCTCTTAGCTCCTATGGGACTGATCATCCTTATAGATCCAGAGCAAACACTTTGTCTTCCCCTGGTGGAGACCAACATTAATTCAGAAGTTTGGGAAACTCAAGGAAAAATTGGCAGGGCTACAACCACCATACTGGTTCAAATCCATCTTACAGCTCCCACATCCTTCCCTAACCAGAGGCAATATCCCCTTGTGATGGTTAATACTGAGTGTCAACTTGATTGGATTGAAGGATGCAATATTGATCCTGAGTGTGTCTGTGAGGGTGTTGCCAATGTTGATTAACATTTGAGTCAGTGGACTGGGGAAGGCAGACCCACCCTTAATCGGGTGAGCACCATCAAATCAGCAACCAGCGAATATAAAGCAGGTGGAAAAACGTAAAGAGATGAGACAGGCCTAGCCTCCCAGCCTACATTTTTCTCCCATACAGGGTGCTTCCTGCCCTCTAACATTGGACTCCAAGTTCTTCAGTTTTAGGACTCAGACTGGCTCTTCTTGCTCCTCAGCTTGCAGACAGCCTATTTTGGGACCTTGTGATGATGTAAGTTAATATTTAATAAACTCTCCTTTGTATATATAAAGGAAACTCTTTCTAATATATATATTAGAGGGCATATATATATATATTTATGCAAACACTAATATAGAACTAATAGGATATGTATATTCTATTAGTTCTGTCCCTCTAGAGAACCCTGACTAATACATATTTTGGTACCAGGAGTGGTTCTGGATAACAGAATATTAAGGATGGAGTTCTTTCATTTGTTTTGGGGTTTCTGAAGTTGGCTGCTTAATGTGAGTAGACCCAAAAATGCTAAGGACTCTACTTCTAGTAGTATGGAGAACACTGATAGTCCTTGATGTGAACTGTTTAGAGAGTCATGCAAAAAAAAAATGCATATGACACTCCTGATTCACTGATCATGAGAAGCAAGGAGTTTAGTGACTCTACACATAATACCTTTGATCATATTTGGAGGACCAAGGAACATAATGAAGCTGGTTGGTTGCTCCTAAGCTCAGTGGACAAAGTGATGAATGAAAATGATGAACTCAGTGATTCTGTCTCCTCGCTTCAGAAGCAGATTCTGAGCCTCACATCTGCTAAGATTGCCCTGAGTAAGAGTTTTGTCTCCTGGAGAGAAAGAGCTGAAATTACGGAAAAACAAACATAAGATTTTATCATATGAGTGGCTGACCTGCAATGAAAGATCCATGCACAGCCTCACCCGGTGTCTACTGTTAAAGTGAGGGTATTGATTGGAAAAGAATGGGACCCTGCAACTTGGAATGGGGACGTGTGGGAGGACCCTGATGAAGCTGGGGACACTAAGTTTGTAAACTCTGATGAACCTATTTTGCCAGAAGGAACAGCTTCCCCATCCCCAGTAATGGCAATACCCCTACCTGACCCATGCTGCCATCAGGCTTTCCACCTTTGTCTGAGGAGATAAACCCTGTGCTCCCTGAGGGAACAGTGATGGCCTCCCCTGAGGCAGCTGCCAGGCAAGTTAATATTGATTCTCTTCAGATGCTATCCCTAACACCTCTGTTTGCTTCTACACCCATAACTAAAGTCCCGGCAGGACCCTAGAGGTAAAGTTGAGAGTGTGACCCATGAGGAGGTGCACTACACTTGAAAAGAACTGTTTGAGTTCTCTAGATAAACAGCAATCTGGAGAATAGGCATGGGAATGGATAGTAAGAGTGTGGGATAATGGCAGAAGGAACATAGAGTTGGATCAGACTGCATTTATTGATTTGGGCTCACTGAGTAGGGACTCTGCATTTAATGTTGCAGGTCAGGGAGTTAAAAAAGGTTCTAATAGTTTATTTGCTTGGTTAGCTGAAATATGCGTTAAAAGTTGGTCCACCATGAGTGAGCTGGAAATGCTTGACCTCCCTGGTTTAGTGTAGAGTAAGGGATTCAAAGGCTTAGAGAGATTGTGATGGTGGAGTGGATTAGTCACTTTAGACCTACTCATCCCAGCTGGGAGGGTCCAGAAGATATACCCTTCACCAATGCCTTGCAGAATAGATTTGTGAGGGCAGCACCTGCATCTTTGAAGAGCCCTATAATTGCTTTTCTCTGTATGTCAGATCTAACGGTTTGAACTGCAGTCACTCAACTAAAATATTTAAACACAATGGGAATAATTGGATCCCGAGGTGGCAAAGGCCAAGTGGCAGCACTCAACCATCAAAGGCAAGGCAAGGTGGGCGTAGCTACCATAATGGATAGCAGAGGCAAAGTGGCAATAGAATAGTCTGACACCTGTAGAGCCCTGGCATTGGCTAACTAATCACAATGTTCCTAGAAGTAAAACTGATAGGAAGCCTACTGCATTCCTACATACATTATACAAACAGAAAACTTATAGGTTGAATGGACAAAAGACTAATTTGAATTATAAAAACAGAGAATCACAGCCCCTCAATCACTGTCCAGACTTGAGCCAGTTTACAGACACAGAATCCCTTGAATGAAGGGAATGCCATGTCCCCCTGAGGAAGGACCCCATTACATTACCAACAATTCATGCAGATAGTGGTGCAAATATATGTGGCTAGGGAGGACCTCAAAGAAACCCCCTTTGATAACCCAGACTGGATTCTCTTTACAGATGGAAGTTCTTTTGTAGAACAAGGAGTCCATAAAGCAGGATATACAATGGTCACCCTGAATGACATTATTGAAAGCACACCTCTCTCACTGGACACAAGTGCTCAACTGGTTGAGCAAATTGCTCTCACTAGGGTACTTGGATTAAACAAAGAGAAAGCCATTAACATTTACACTGATTCCAAGTATGCTTTCCTAGTCCTCCATGCCACTACTGGAAAGAGAGACACTTCCTTACATCTAATGGGTCTACCATTAAATACCATCAGGAAATTGACAAACGAGTATCCTCACTTTTCCTTCCATGGGAAGTGGCAGTAATACATTGCAAAGTCCACCAAAAGAGGATGGGTAAAATAACCAAAAGAAACAGATTAGCAGACCAAACAGCTAAGTTAGCAGCAAAAATGCCCCAGAGTTCCAATGCACTTGAGGAACCTCTGATCTGGAAGGGCTCCATAAAAGAAATAAAACCTTGGTATTCTCCTGCAGAAATAGAATGAGCCATCTCTCAAGGATACACTTTTCAGCCCAAAGGATGGCTACTATTGGAGGATGGCAAACTTCCTTTGCCTGCCTCCAGCCAATGGAAAGTTCTTAAAATCCTTTATCAATCCTTTCACCTAGAAAAGAATAAAACTTACCAATTGGCCCAAAGGCTGTTCTCAGGTGAAAATCTGCTAAATACAGTCAAAGAGGTTATTAATGCTTGTGAAATTTGCCTTAAAATTAATCCCCTCAACAGACAGCTTCTCTCCCCTGGAACCCAAAGAATGGGAGGCTACCCAGGGGAAGACTGACAGTCAGATTTCACCCCTATGCCAAAGATAAGGGGCATCCAGTATGTCTTGGTATGGGTAGATACCTTTACTAACTGGGTAGAAGCATTCCCATGACAGAAAGAGCCTCTGAGTTGATAAAGTACTAATTAATACGATAATTACTCACTTTGGACTCCATAAGTACTCCCAGAGCAATAATGGCCCCTTATACAAGGGCTGTCACCTAGGGGGCCTCAAAAGCACTAAGCATACCATACCGTCTTCACTGTGCCTAGAGACTACAGTTCTCGGGAAAGGTAGAAAAGATAAATGATATTATCAAAGGACCTCAGAAAAATGTCTCAAGAAACTCATTTCCCTCAGGTCACTCTTCTTCCCATGGCCTTATTATGGGTGAGAAACACCCCTTCAAAGACAGGTTTGAGCCCCTTTGCCTCCACTAGCTCAGAAGGACACAAAAAATATCAATGTGAAGAAATTAGAGATCTCAAAATAAAAATTATAAAAGATAAGTAACATATGGGGCCTATTGACATTCTTTCTCTGGTGTTACCCATATGACATTTGGTACTTGGTGTCATTGCATTTGTTCTAACTTGCATAGTTAAACCTGTGTGTTGCTGCCCTTGCCAGCAATTAATCTCTCACCTTTATGAACAGTGAACACTCTCATTGCTAATCCCATCATCTTAGTCCCATTGTATCCCTTATCTGCCAAAGCCATTCAATTATCTCCACTTTTCCTCTCACCACTCATCAGTGAATATTGAAACACTTTTTGATGCATTTTTACAGGGAGACTTTCATTACCCATGGAGTCTAAATACTAATCTAATAGATCCTTTGGGAGAGGTCAAATATTATTTGGAATCAGACTTCCCAACATCCAATTGGAAATTGGGGTTGTAATTTGTATATTGGGGTATATTGGGGTACTATTTTTTATAACTGCTGCTCTGCTTCTGTGGTAATTCTCACGATAAGGCAACTTTGCCAAGGATCCCTTAATCCGGAACACCCAAGGGATTATTTACTTCCCTAAGCAGCTATTTTTCTGCTAGGATTTAATGTCTTTCACAACGTGAAACAGCTTTAGCCACAACATTGCTTTCAAAGTGATTAGCCTATTTTGCTTTTTATTCCTGTTTTTTCCCTCTGTAGCTCTTTTTTATTATATCATTTATATTTATTCCAACCATATGCAACTTTCTTAGCTAAGTAATTGTTTAACGTCTGCTTATATTATGAATGGCTTTTTTATATTAGTTTTTTAAATAATATGTAAGATAGGAAATGGAAATTACCTAACCCACCTAACCCAGGATATAACAAAAGGTCAGAATCTTAGTAATTGTTAGATTTGCCATGAATCTCCTGAAAAAATCCACCTCATACTTATACAAGTTGAAACCTATAACCAACCCTTGCAAGCAGGCACCACCAATTCCAGAGTGGCCACAATGCTTCTGTAGTCCTTCCATTTCAGCCCCTCCATTAATACAATTTATAAGAAGTCCTCCACTGCGGACGGGGGCCACCCTCAAAAAAGCTATGTATATCTCCTTTGGAATGTCACAAATTATGCATGTAGTAAAGAATTTCACTTTACTGTCACCACAATTACCATCAGGAGTACCTCTTGCACTCTGGCATATTTATCAGAAATGCTCCAATAAGCTAAATATGATTAATATATTCCTCTCACTTTCCTAAATGTTTCCAACCCTTTTCTGAAAATGCAGCAGTAGTCCCAGAAATCCAACCGTTTAGAATGGCTGTTTGGTACAAACATGGGGGGACTACCCACCTCGATAAGAGAGGATTTCCCTAGTAGTCCTCAATACCCTGTGTTTCCACCTGGAGACTAACAACATGGAACACTCTATGTTATGGAGCAGAGAGTCTTATTAATTAAAATTTTTATTCTTCCAAAGCTTTTGCTTATCAACTATTTAACGGGACTAGAGGTATTAAAACTTATCAGAACAAGAATTTTTGGACAGTTAATGCCTACATTCATTGTATGTGGGCAGATTTAATTGTTGGTGCCTTAACAAACCACTCTGCCTTACAAAAGGAAAGAGCTTGGGCTGGTACTTCTTGGGGTCCTTTAGGAGCTGAATCATCTGTCCCAAACTGTACATTCAGCCAGGATGTACAGAAGTGGGTGAACTTGAAAAAATACCACTATCTTTTATGCATCTCAGGGACTGTGGTTCGTCTGTGAAGACCAGCAGCAAAAACTCTGGGCCTTGAGTTGCCTATACTGCACAGTGGTGCGAGGGATGTATTCCCTGCAATGGGTGTTACCTCTAGATGGCTCTTTACAAATATGCCAGTATCTACTTCACAAAGTCCCTTCCCATTAAGAACGTACCAAACAGAAACGAGGAGTAGGTCTTATAGCCTTGAGTGTAATAACAGCTGTTACATCCATAGGTGGCTCGGTTGTAGGAATAGTTTACAATGCATAAACAATTCAAAATGCATCAAGTGTAATTGAACAATATGCTGAAGATGCTGTTCAGGGTTTTAAGGTCCTCCAAATGTCATTAGATTTACTTGCCAATCAGGTGATGGATCACAGAATAGACCTTGATTATCTCTTAGCAGAAAAATGAGGGGTATGTGCTATAGCAGATACTTCTTGTTGTTTTTATGTTAACTCCTAAGGAGAGGTTGAATTTGGAGCCAACCATCTACTTTGTAGAGCTAAATTGTTAAGGGGTGCTAAGACCCATTTAGCTGGAGATATATGAAATACCATTAAAGGATATCTCCCTTCAATGACATGGTTCCCCCACTTATTAGGACTTCTGGTAATGATTGTCTTAGCTCTGCTTCTTGGACTCTGCATATTAAACCTTCTTGTAAAATTTGTTTCTTCTCACCTAGAGGTCATCAAATTTTAGATGGTGATGCAGATGGCACCCCACATGGACAAGTCCTTCTTCCGAGGCCTGCTAGACCACCCTCTGCATGACTCTTGACTGCCACACAAACAATGTCCCCTCACAGCTTGAGCAGCTAGTGTGGTTTTCTTCCCTTTTCCCTAAACCGCAATTAGGGTCACTACTCCAGAATGGGGAAGGAGAGAGGAGGCAGTTAGGAGCTGGTTAGGCAGATCGAGAGGGAGGATCAGTGGAGAAGAACAGAGAGAGGCAATATTCACATGAACAACCATGGACAGCACCTAAACTGCCTATGCAGCTAAAGGGAAGAAATGTGGTTAAGAGCTTCCCCTTAAGCCAGGGTGCTGCTCACAGGGACTGTCCCAACTTAGGGGCAGGCACAATTCATCAAAATAAATATCTTTGTCTTAACCTTGCTAAATATAATATTGTTAACATGATATCAGCATTGTGTGTTTAGCCCCTCCATGGATTTTGGTTAAGCATTCATGGGTAATAACCAAGAGGGAGTCAGTCAGCCCAAACTCAAGCATGTGCAGATGCAACACCCATAGGAGGAACATTTACCTCTCCCATTTGGAGAAAAACCTACAGAAGACTTCCTGGCTTCTGCCACATAACATATCAGGAACTCAGTCCTGTTTCTGGAAACTTGCTTTCCAGCCCCCTCTCTTTGCTGATAACTTTCCTTTTGCTTAATAAATCCTACTCTACTCACTCTCCAATGTCTGCATGTCTCATTCTTCTTGGTTGTGGGACAAGAATTTGGACTTAGCTGTACTAGGGACTAAGCAGACTGCAACACTCTCAACTCTTTTCTTGAAAAATAATGCATTACTGTTATAAGACAAAAAAAGATCCCCCACTACTCATGTAATCTAGATCTTCTAGTAAATTTGTGGCTATGAGTAAATTAGACAATATCTTTATCCCACATCTAATCTTTCTCTCAAACCTGTTTGGATATAAAATAAGATTTCATAGCATGGAATAACAAACTCATTAACAACAAAGAGACATCCATTAATTGCTTAATCACAATTTTCAAAGGCAAACATGTAGGCAAATCTGTCTTGTAGACAATTACAATACAAGAGAAAATACTAATGCAAAATGTAGGTTGACAAGAAGCCAGCTGAATAAAATATTTACAATGATTAATGAAAGATCTGTGCAGTTTAAAAAGCATTTTTCTTTTCCTTATCAGTTTTGGTAAGCTGTTAGTAGTGAGGCTGCTTGTCAGAGTGTGTGGAGGAAAATAATTTGTTGCTCTGACAAAGATAGGAAAAAACCTGAGTGAAATGTGTTTAAGACAGAAACGTTGATCAAGTGACCAGTGTTGTGAGAGACTTCAGGGAATTTGCATCATACTGAGAAAGCAGCTTGGAAATATAAGAATCCACAATGGAATACAAGACAGGGAAAAGCACATACAAACATAAAGTGAAGAGAGTGCATTCCTACACATAAGATGGGATGAGGCATTTCCAGCTTCCAGATGAAAGTACTTTTTTAGGGAACATTAAATCTGACAACTTTTGCAGTCCCATCCCCACCCTTCTCTATAAGCAGATCCATTGTTCCTGGCCCTTCATTCTCAAAAAACTAAACAAAAACTTACCTTTTGTGCAAGCCCTAAAACATTTACTTTTTTTGATATAAGGTCCAGAAGCCATAATTACTTTTCCTTAAATAAGTATAATTATTTTTAAAAGGTATTTTATCTCTACTAATGTTAGATTCTGCATTGGAAATGTGTATTTACTTTTTAAAGAAAAACATTACTCATCAAAGTCACCTATTATGCAATTATCACAAATCAAGAATAGTTAAAAAGTTGATACTTTTATAGACTATGATTTCTTACCTTGTTCCATAACTAAAGGAATAGAATAAAGGGCTTGGTGATGTCATAAAGGAGTAAAACTAACTTCTAAAGGCCATTTTAGATTTCTTTTACTCACACTTATTGTGGAAATTTTAGGCATTTACAACCAAACAGTAGTACTTTGGAGATATATTTTTTTTGTATTCTATTTTGCCTTTTTCAAGACAAAAGATCGAATTTTAGTATGATGTGATTTAAGCTCATTTGCAATTTACATCCGTTAAAAATGCAGAATTCATTGAATACTCGGGAACCTCTGTCTTTTTTTGCCTCTAATCTTCAGAATACGCTGGTTTATTTTTGAAATTGAGAATAATACATGGAAAATCTTTTCATCTTATTGATGAAAGAAAGTGTTTGATCCAGCAGGCGTTAAAGTTCAAATGCACAGATAAAAGATAAAATAGTAGATTATTGAAGAGAAGTTCTTGGGCTATGTATTCATAGTAAGTAAAGACATGAAAAGGATATAATATCAGTATATCAAGCACAGGGAATACACAAAGATTACAAGATATAATGTTTTAGCTCCTTATCTGTCAGTTTAATGAATGTTATTTTTCATATTTAACACTCTATTGCACATGTCCAATTTTCAAAAGATAAGTCAGATTACATTTTGTCAGACCTAAGAAGAAATCATATTACATAACTATTAACACAGGAAAATAATGGGACATATTTTCAGCCAAATTTCTGATCTTCTAAGATAAACGAGCTGGAGCCAATAAGGCTTGAAATGCTCTAAAACCTCAACTTTTCATATACAGCATCATGCACAGCAGTTTGCATTGTTTTAAAGATGATGTCACAGTTGGCCAAGGTCAAGAAAGCACATCTGAAATATCCTTCCAACCTAGCTTACTCAACCTGGAAGCAGAAATAGTAAAGCCTGGCTCAAAAAATATTTTGAGTTCTCGTGTAATATTTTTATGTTTAGATAAGTGGCTTTCAAAAGGCAATACATGGACTCACTAAGGTGTCTCCTTGCTTACTGATTTATTCTAATATTTATTCTTACATTACAAAAAAATTTCTTTTTGTTTTTAGTGGAAACATATATCTCATAATAATACCTCTAACCTGTTACAGCACCAGGCTTTTCAATTTGATATACACAATGGAAAACAATAAAAACAAAAATGAAGTATGAATCAGTGATTTTTAATATATGTGTTTTATGATATGTTTCAATGGTTCATTTAATTTAATTCAAAGAAGTCAACTTTATAGAAATATTTATTTCTAACCATATTGTAGCTAATAGATTATAGACACAGAAGTAAATTCAATTTCCTCAATGTTAAATGTATTCCATTTTTGGATTATCAATCTGACAAAATTATTACCTAAAATATTACTTCATAAAGGTAATTACTTTTGTTAAACTACCATCCCCAGCTTGCCAATATATACAAAACCAATCATAGATTAATTGTCTTGTGCAGACTTTCATATCATGGGAATTTCTCATGCATTGATGAGTTAACACTGCTGTGTTTCATGACTTTTATGGGTTTAGCTATATGAGGATCTGTTTAAGAATCTATATGATTATTCAGTGTGCTCTCTGGAGGCAAACATTTCAGAACTGTGACAGTGAATAAGATATATGAAGGTAGTTTAGAATTTGGAGAATAAAAGAGGAAGAGGAAGAATGAATATTTATCAAAATGAAGCTATTCATCTGAGTCTTTTGGAATATTATTCAGGTTAGAATTGCTCTTTCTTTGAAAATTTTAGTTTCTTCATAATGAAAGAGGGTAAATTAACAGGTAGAAAATAGGCTAATTCAATATCTCAAAAAACTCCTAAATCCTTCCATTTTGGAAAAGTAAAAAAAAAAGGAGAACTTTTTCATACTCATTTTCATCAAATCTTTGCTCAAATGTCATCTTCACAATGAGGCTTACCTTAACTGTTCTATTTAAAATTGCACCTCCCAGCACAATCAATTCCTTTTACCATGACTATCTCTTTACTTTCTGACATTTACCTGCTCCAAACATAGTAAATGTATTTGTGTGTGTGTGTGTGTGTGTGTGTGTGTGTGCGTGTGTGTTATTGCTTATTTTGTCTCCTTCTACCAGAATGTCAACTCCATGGGGGTTGTTTTTTTTTTTTGTTCACTGATACATCAAATGGTTAGAACAGTGGCAAGCACTTAGTACAGATTCAATAACTATTTGCTGAATAAATTAACGAACACATATAAAATGCTTTTCTAGAAATATTTTATTTGCAATATAAGCAACATTAACAGCAGCTGTCATTTATTTGAGGGTTGGAGTGATGTTACCTGAAGATACAGAGGCACAGATCATCTGGCAGAGGCTGAAGATTTTGTTTTTCAGCACACTTAATTATTTCTTTATATCTTTTTATTTCCAGTATTGTAAACTTTAAGAGACTTAGTTTGTCCATACAGTATCACCATGTAATAGCTGAAAATGTTTTTTTTTGGACCAGCTGATGTAGGAAAATACAATTTTGGTAAATGAAGCGTAAGATTTAGTAGTGTCAAGATATAATAGTCATGATATGAATGTCCATTGTGAAAACAGAGAACTCCCGTGGCTGTGGATGGCAATCTATTTATGCTGCCACCGGTTGGCTATTGGAATCAAAACTCAACTCAAAATTTAGAAGCAAATTTTGCCTGTTGGTGGGGTAAGATCTTCACTTTTCGGTATTGCTTTTGCTACGGTATTTCAAATTTTTATGTGGCACTGCAAAAGTATGGAACCAGCGAGTCCACTGGAGCAAACTTTCTTAAAGAAGCTAAACTGGCAGTGAGAGCAAAAGCTAAGAAAGCCCCTCACCTCTTCTATCCAGCTAAAGCTCAGTAGTTTAGGTTAACCAGGTAACCTAAACTCAAAGTAAGCTTATAAAGCAGTATTTAATCTTATTCAGCAAAAAATCTGCATCAATCATTTATGCAAGTGATCCAAATGCATACACACTTGACCCTTGAACAGCACGAGTTTGAACTGTGAGGATCCATTTATAGCAGATTTTCTTCTGCTTCTGCAACTCTGAGACAGTAAGACCAACCTTTCTTCTTGCTTGTCTTCCTCAGCCTGCTCAATGTGAAGACGAAGAGAATGGAGACCTCCATGATGATGACTTCCACTTAATGAATAGTCAACATATTTTCTCTTTTCTTATCATTTTCTTAATAACATTTTTCTCTAGTTTACTTTATTGTAAGAATACAGTTATTCTGGGGGGAAGTCAAAAATTATACATAGATTTTTGACTGTGTGGGGGGCCAGCACCCCAAATCTTGGTTGTTGAAAGGTCTACTATGATTATCTCATTTTAATATTACAAATTTTCTATGTACAAATAAGAACCTGGACAGACACGGGTGGCTCACGCCTGTAATCCCAGCACTTTCGGAGGTCCAGGTGGGCGGATCAAGAGGTCAGGAGATCGAGACCATCCTGGCTGAAACGGTGAAACCCCGTCTCTACTAAAAATACAAAAAAAAAAAAAAAAAAAAATTAGCCAGGCCTGGTGGCTGGCGCCTGTATCCCAGCTATCGGGAGGCTGAGGCAGGAGAATGGTGTGAACCTAGGAGGCAGAGCTTGCAGTGAGCCAAGATGGCGCCACTGCACTGTAGCCTGGGCGATAGAGAGAGACTCTGTCTCAAAAAAATAAAAATAAAAAAAAAATAACCTAATGTTCTTTTCATTGATGACACTGATGTGATTTATACTTTTTTATTGTTTAGGCATTTTTCTTGCTAGATATCCTCATCTTATAATAAGCTAGAATTAAAACAATTTGGTAGTAGCATTAAAAGCTTAGCTGTAGTTATAAACACTAATGGGTAGGAACACTCTTATGGAAGCCTTTATGGCTTCTCTCAAGTGTATCACAAATAATATGAAAATGGTTTTTCTTTTTAATTCATTTTTTTTCCCTAATCATTGAAAGAAGGTTATATACAACAGTACTGTGATTTCTCATGGTGGTGTATGCCTCCATTGGAATACATTTTTGGTCCTTCATATGTGAGTTACTTACAACAGCCTCCACTTTGCTTTTCAATTCAGTAACTTTCAATTTGGTTTTCGTGTTTTGCTTTTGGCAGCTTACCTGTAAGTGCCCAAGTGTGTGTGTGTTCAATATTCCAGTTTGCATACATGCGCTTGCCAGTAATATGAGGCTTTTCAGAGATTGCTTTTCAATAAGACAAATAGAATGACCACATATTATAAATTATTAATAAGATGTTATGCACCACTTCCTGTGCTTTAATTAAAATACATTAATGAATTAAGTGAAATCAGAATTAATAAAGATATGCTAGATTTCCCCTAGAACAAGCTCAAAAAAGAAATAATATCCATGCAGCACACTAACTTTTATATTCTGTTTAATTTACCATCGTCATTCACCCTAATCCTACATATTGTATTTTATTAGAATGTTCTCTTCTGACTCACCTGGAGTTCAGGAATTCAGGCTACCAGTCAGAAGTGCTTCCTCATGTTTTGTCCTCAACCTTCAGGCTTTGGCAACAAAGTCTCTTCAGAATAGCTTATCTCGCAGCAATCAGCCATTACCACCTTAGCAAG
Source organism: Homo sapiens (assembly GCF_000001405.40). Classification (NCBI taxonomy): domain Eukaryota; kingdom Metazoa; phylum Chordata; class Mammalia; order Primates; family Hominidae; genus Homo; species Homo sapiens. The sequence continues at coordinate 20,353,726 of NC_000005.10, forward strand.
GCTGATTCATTTATGTGACTATTTCCCAGCTCTTCAAAGCTATAATTTGTCTTTTCTGGCACTCTGCACCAGCTGAGCCCCCAGAGTTCCTGCATCCTTTCATCCTTTCTCCCACAGGGTTGAAGAATGGAAAGGAAACTAGACAGGTTTCCGTATACTGGAAGCTAAAGAGTCCCTTGCCCACCATGATTAGAACTTTCTTGTTCTTAAAGGCTTCTCGGTCAATTTACTTTTAAACAAATCATTCTTTTTAAGGAGAAGCACGTTTAGCTTCCTGCTTCCATCAGCTATAAAGCTGAATTCTTGTTTTAAAGAAAGTGTAACTACAATTATTTTTATTGGAAGCTAAAGCAGCTTATCCACTTTGGATATAGAGTTTTCAGAAATTATTTTTTTGATAGTTTTAACTTCTCACTGAAGAACAAAACATTATAAATAATACATTAAAAAGATGCATTCTAAAATGTAAGATAAAAGTGCATGGTGGTACTTTGCTATCCAATTATATAAAGGGCTTTTACTTTTAAATTTTATATTAACTGATTTAAATTGAGGGAATCCTCCTTACTTGAAACATTTTTTAACATACGTTAAATTTAGCAAAACTATTTATAATTTTATTCACAATAAGAAAGCATGCTTTAATTATGTAACATGACATTTTATGCTCTTACTTAATTCCTGACCTTGCTTTATTTATTTATTTAGGGACAGGGTCTTCCTCCAACACCCCGGCTGCAGTACAGTGGAGCAGTCTTCACTCACTGCAACTTCCACCTTCTGGGCTCACACGATCCTCCTGCCCCAAATGGGACTTCAGGTGTGCACCCCACACGTGGCGATTTTTTGTACAGGCAGGGTCTTGCTATGTTGCCCAGGCTAGTCTCGAACCCCTGAGCTTGTCTCGAACCCCTGAATTCAAGCGAACCACCTACCTAGGTGTCCCAAAGTGCTGGGATTACAGGTGTGAACCACCGTGCCTGTCTCAACTCCTAAGCTTTTCAATCCATCCTTCAGCAAAGAATCAGAAATTTTGTATAGAAGAGATTTAGTGGTGTCATACTGTTGAAAGGACAATCAGAGATCTGAGTTGGTAACCATGACAATAGGATTATCAGATCTCCTACCAATATGAACATAATTAACCAGTGAAATCAGTTACTTTATGATATCTACAACCCTTCTGCATGAAAGGTATGCTTCCAATAATTGCTCCAAGACAATATCTGACCAGGACCACTTTACTACGAGGGCCAATTACCGGGAAATGTTCTTCCAAAGGGTACCTGCCTGATCACCTTGCTAGAATTTTCATAGGCCCACACTGCATCTTTCTTCCTTATTTAAGGTGTCAGATATCCATAATGGTGTAAATGTTCTCCCAGACATCTCCAGCTCCTTTCCCCTTTCTCTTAACAAGTGATTCCCCCAACAAATGCCCTGCATATCTAACTGCCTATGCAGTTGTGCTAGTAAGACGAAGAAACTGCCTTTTGTCTGTGTCAAGATGAGGGAGGGCAGTATGGCTCTCCCTACAACATGCCTCTGGCAACTCCAGTAGCATCTTCTCATGAAAGCAACCACATGCCCTTGATCATTTTGTTTTGTCTCTGAACTTTTCCAAACTTGACATGTCTTCTTCAAAATGTCACACTCATCTGGAGGTAGCATTTCACATATGAATTAAACATAGCCTATAGCTAAGTGGAAGGTTATTTTCTTTTTCAAGTACAATACCCTGCTTGAAAGATATGGGTGGCCAAAAAAATCTTACATTTCTTTGACTTAACATTTAATTATTTTGGAAGACCTCTTAGAGTCTGAGACTGAAAGAGCAATCTTTAGAAAGTGTATATTGCTCATTAATTAGGGTGAAGATTACTTATGATTACTTATGATACAAAGATTACTGTGTGAATTAAAAAATCTACCTCATGATAAATTTTCTTAATTGGAAAACAATATATTAAGGTAAGGTAAAACTACTTTTGTATATTTATAGCTAAGTGTTTATGCATCTGAAGTTTTATCTACATCAAGCTGAATATGCTGCAAGCCTAATATTTACATACAACTCATGGCGAATTTATCATTAGTTATGATGTAGCACTAACATAGGACACTAATGGAAGCACAAGAGTCACATATTATTGTCAATTATTCACAGACCAAATTAACTTAGGTAATGTTACAGATTGACAAGCACATTCAATGATTTTGATTTAACAGATACAAATAAACTTCCTACCCTAAATACAAAATATACTTTATTTACAATATCTGTCCTACATTAAAATAGGAATATCAGTACATTTATTTTCGATCAAAGCATTAAAATTTGTTTTAAAACCCACTCTAAAATTAAAAACACTCCAGACTAGGCTCAGTGGCTCATGCCTGTAATCCCAGCACTTTGGGAGGCCGAGGTGGGCGGATCACCTGAGGTCAGGCATTTGAGACCAGCTTGGCTAATGTGGTAAAACACCGTCTCTACTAAAAATGCAAAAATTAGCTGGGCATGGTGGCAGGTGCCTGCAATCCCAGCTACTTGGGAGGCTGAGGTAGGAGAACTGCTTGAATCCAGGAGACGGAGGTCGCAGTGAGCTGAGATCACGCAACTGCACTCCAGCCTGGGCGAAAGAGCAAGACTCCATCTCAAACAAACAAACAAAACCACCACAACAACAAAAAACACTCCCACCAAAGGTAATCTCAAATGCACATGGAAGAAAAAATGGCTGAGATGACTCAAGATATATAAAGAGTTAGCTTAGAAATTCATCTGACTAGAGATTTATTATAAATTTTAATAATATAGACAGCATGTAGATTAAATCAAGAGTAAAGAGGATTTTTGTTTATCAGATAGGAAAATACATTATTAATTGAATTAAAACTTTATGATACTGGGAGGAAAAACAAGCATATTAAGAGAACAGAGCAGGAGATAAAGAAATACAACCAAACATACCTAGATATGGATATATACCAAGGTCTCTCTCTCTCTCTCTCTCTCTCTCTCTCTCTCTATATATATATATATATACACATGCACACACACATATACCTATGTATGCGTATATATGTATATATACACATATATACCTATATACACACATATATATACACACACATACATATATACTATATATATACTCTATATATACATGCATGTATATATACGTGTGTATACATATATACATATATATACACACACATATATATGTAGTAATAACTGTAAGTCAGTATATATGTAGTAATAACTATAGCAATATATATGCAGTAATAACTGTAAGTCAGTCTCAGGAAAAAGAAGACATTTGATAAGTAGTGTTAGTGTAACATGTTAGAAATTAAGATAAACTACAAATATTTACCTGACACTTTATGAGAAAAAAAATCAGATGGCTTTTAATACATACATTTATATAAAAATGAGAATGCATGATGTTACTTAACATTAAGAAAAAAGATCTTTAATGTGATTCCAAAGGCGAAAAGAAACATGATTAAACTATTTAACAGAATATCCTCTCCTTAAAAGTAGGAGAGGAAGAGAAGGAAGGAAGCATGTATGCAAAATGCTAAAATTGCAATTGTCACTAGTTTGAAAATTAGCTAAATAACCAATAAACATTGGCACAAATCAACACACACATAAGCCAAATGCTCTGATAGAAAAACTGCAAAAAATATACCAAAATAACCTTCTATCATTATTAGATAACAAAACTAAATAACTTTCTATTGTTATTATGTTGAAACAAGGAAATTACATAAACAAACACTTCTCAAAACAAGATATAAGAGCGGCCAAAAAACATGAAAAAATGCTCTTCATCTCTGATCATCAGAGAAATGCAAATCAAAGCTACAAATAGACATCATCTCACACAAGTCAGAATGGCTTTTGATAAAAGGTGAAAAAATACCAGATGTTAGTGAGGCTGTGGAGAAAATGGGAGACTTTATACACTATTATTGGGACTATAAATTAGTCCAGCCACTGTGGAGAGCAAATTGGAGATTTCTCAAATAACAAAAGTTGAACCAGCAATCCCATTATTGGGTATATACCCAAAGGAAAATAAATGATTCTACCAAAAGGACATATGCACTTGCATGCTCACTGCAGCACTATTTGCAATAGCAAAGACATGGAATCAACTTAGATGCTCATCAACAGTGTGCAGGATTAAAAAAAAAAATGTGGTTAATATATACCATGGAGTACTATGCAGCCATAAAAAATGAAATCATGTCCTTTGCAGCAACATGGATGCAGCTGGAGGCCATTATTCTAAGCAAACTAGGGCAGAAACAGAAAACAAAACACCATATATTCTCACATATAAGTGGAAGCTAAACATTAAGCGTACACATTGACATAAATATGGAAACAATAGATACTGGAGACTACTAGTGGGCAGAGAGAAAGAGGGAGGGGCGCGAAGGCTGAAGAACTACCTGTTGGGTACTATGCCCACTACCTGGGCAAAAGGTTCAGTCATATCCCAAACTTCAGCATCATAAAATATAACCATGTAACAAATCTGCACAGGTACCCCCTGATTCTAAAACAAAGTTGAACAAGAAAACAAAAATAATAAAATTGGTCAATGAGACCTAGACCAAAGAATTGAAAGTAGTTTGACATAAGAATATAGATATTAAAAACACATCCCATTTCCTATCAGGTGATAAAGGGTACAGATATTTCTGATTATAGCTAGCGTTTTTTGTGGAGAGGTAGGTGTTACATCCTTATGCATTATTCATATGAGGTTTTACTCAACTTAACTTTCTACAGAGCAATTCAATATGCATAAATATGTGTAATATTTGACCAGGCAATACCACTTACAGGGTTAGAACCTCAGAAGACACTCAGAAATATATTCCAAAATATATATTCAATATGTTTAAGGAAGTTACAGGTTTTTTTAAGGTGCAAGATGGCAAACAACCTAAATGCCCTGAGCATACTGTTTATTTAAAATGGATGCAGCAGATGGCTCATTCTTTGAAATTAGAAGCTGGTCCCAATATATTTTTAAGTAAAGCAAAACAAAAAACAAATGTCCATACTATATATTTGGTGTGATCTTATTTTAATATACATATGTACATATAAAAATATTCAAGAAATGTTTGCATTTTTAAGCCTGATGTTGGATTTGGAGTGATGCATTGGCCTTTTTTCTTTCTTTTTTTTTTTTTTTTTGAGACGGAGTTTCACTCTTGTTGCCCTGGCTGGAGTGCAATGGCGTGATCTCAGCTCACCGCAACCTCCGCCTCCTGGTTCAAGTGATTCTACTGCCTCAGCCTCCCAAGTAGCTGGGATTACAGGAGTGTGCCACCATGCCTAGCTAATTTTGTATTTTTAGTAGAGAAGTGCTTTCTCTATGTTGGTCAGGCTGGTCTCAAACTCGGGACCTCAGGTGATCCACCCACCTCGGCCTCCCAAAATATTGGGATTACAAGTGTGAGCCACCATGCCCATCTTATTGGCCCTTTTCTGTATGTACATTTACAATGTCTAATATCTCTACTATTCACATGTTTTGCTTATTTAATAAAAATATAAAGTTTGTAAAATAAGAGTTGTTGCTAATAATGAAGCAATCCTCGTAAAACAATCTAAAGATTAGAATTTCATTTTTTATGGAATATAAAGCATTCAGAAGCTTTATTTTTACAGCATGTTTTGCCTTTGGGGATCTTACATTGTTCTCACACTGAAAGCAGCTAAAAGAATAATCTTCCTCTTGGTTCATATTTTCTTTATAAACTATGGCCTTTAAGTACTTAACATTCTTTAAACTTCGGTGCCCCTGTCATGTGTTAAATTATGTGAAGAGAACAATGGAGTTGAAGTGTTTTAACCACCTTAGTGAACTAAGCTCAGCCTCAGCAGGTTTTATTATGCATCCATTAAACTTCAAGTAGGAATATATATATCAGCCTGTTTTAGTAAACCACTAATTCTCCACCAGTTTTCTCTAAGATATTTCCTCATTACATGTGTTATCATAATGCTTAGCCTCAACAAAACATTTGCAACTTACTCATTTTACACTTATTTGTCAATAGTCATCTGTGGATAAAAACGACCCAGTGAAACATGAATTTTCACTGTCTTATAAAGTTAGAAAGTTATTATTATTTATAACTTTACAGCTTTGGGTGAATATTATAGAAATAGTGATGAAATATATAATAATCTATTAAAAAATTTATCCAATACATTATGCCACTTTATCAGTAATGATCAGTAGTTTAACAAGAATATAATCAATAACAAACTTGGATTAGTGACATTTTATATATATATACTTATATTATTGTAACTATAATATATGTTATATATTATATATAATTCTATAATATATGTTATATATTATATATAATTCTATAATATATAGTTATATTATTGTAACTATAATAAACCATTAGATAAACATTAGACTAATAACACAGGCATGAAATATATGAATCCATAACTATCTATTCTTTCTCCAGCTTACAAAGATAAAGGACTTTTGTAGCTAAGTTGCTTCTCTAAAAATAAATTCAAGGTTAATCCTCCCTCTAGACGGATTAAAGAAAGGGCAACCTCTTCATGCTGGCACAGTTTTTCTGAACATGTTTGAAGATTTATAACTGGGAATCCTGCCCTAAGTAAACACGTTTGATATGTGAGCATGGACTCTTGGCTTTGGCACATTAGGCCCATCTGTTAGGTTGGCATCATTCCTACTTACAATTTGGTTGGAATTCTGCCCCAGGAATTAGGTGCCAAATGGCAACATTTTAAATAAGACACAGCATATAATGCCTCCCTGATCTGGGTGGAATATTCCTTAAAATTGAATCCAAGCAATAGCCTAAAGCCTGCCTTTATCCTTCATCACAATAGTTGGGTGTGTGTTCAAGATGACACAATTAGCAGATTAATTATGCCAACATCATACTTCTATCAGTCAGTACAATCTGCATATTTTATATGTGATTGCTGTTGAGGTTACAGCATTAGTATTGTTATTGCTATTGCTTTACATTTTACATAGTTAAAGCTTCTATATACACCTGTGTAAGCCTAATTTTTTTTCAATTAGGAAGTATACAATGACACTTGCAAAGATATGATTTACCTCCTCACTCACAAAAATTTCAAATCGAAGATATATATTCAAAGGCAAAATGCTTTTAAAAACATTGTAATAGAGTATTCAACCATAAGTGATTTTATTTTAATACATTGGCACACAATAAAATACCAAGAGACTTTGAAGTATACATATAAATAGAATATGTATTTAAAGAAGAATTAAAAGCTAGTACTAATAGAAGGGAATAGAGAAATTACCTCAAATTTTAGTTCTGCAATGCTTTCTACCAAATTTAGATTAAAAATTGTTCATTCATTCATTCATTCTTTCAAAAAAAATGCCTGAGTTATGAATGATATCAGTCAAAAGAAATATGTTAGTAAGAAATCAAGGGACTTACTACAAAACATTATGTGCTAATATAACATAGAAGATATTAATCTGTATGCCAAACTAATAACTGAAAAACTGTTACATTAATTAGCTATTAAACAGTGATTTAAGCGAGAGAAGTCATTTTATACTAAAAAAAGATTCTAAGTAGTGCCATCTTTTAATTAATAAGATATGGTCCAATTTAATGTCTTCAATTGGAGTATTGCTATTACTGTTTGATAAAATATTAAGCTAATTATTCACAGGTTTTCTTTATGTTCTTATTGGAATCATAAAAACTATAAATGTATTAAGGGTCCCTATCTTTGTAAATAATGTGGTTTTATTAGGAAACACCTTGCATTTCTTACACTAAAACAGATAACTAAAATGCCTTGCTAGTATATTACCCTCATGAAACTGGCTGATAAACTGGGGAGTTATACTGGCAAATATACTGAAATCAAGGGCCTAAAGTGGCATATTTGGTTTCTTAATACTGTATCTATATTATCAACTTCATCCTTCAGCTTATGATTATATAGGTTATTTTCATCTAACAACATTTACACATTACATTAAAGTGCATTATGTTAGCTTATTTCCACTGTTTTCAAACTATTTTAAATAAGAAAAATTTTAAATATGTTTCATAGTATATGCTCAATAAATATGACTAGAGTGAATTAACTAGGGTAAGAAAGAATATCAGTAAACGTTTAGTATAAATGTTACTTGAAGACAATTTTAATTGACTGTAAACCAAGAATATGAAGAGAAGAAATTACTATTTGCATTCATGCCAGAGTCAATCATGCATATTTGATAACCTAATAAATGAGGGAAGTATACGTACATATTCTTCCCCAAAGGTAAATTAGCGAATTAATGTCAAGGAATGTAATTTAGTCAGGCAGGAATCATAAACATTTACATTAATTCAACTTTCCTGTTTGGTCTAGAGACATAATTCCCTCTTGAGAAATAGACACATAACTCATCACATTCACTATACTTGCAGCAAAACAAATGCAAAATACATAGTACACTGTGGCACAGCTTCTAATGCAAAATGGGACTGGGCTCAATGAAAAAAATGATTTTAGATGATAAATTAATAAGGAGGAGGACTAATCAAGGATACTGTTGATACAGCGCCGAGGAAGCATGTGAACTAAGTACTCATCTAAAATAATTAGTATCCTCTGTACTCCCTCTTGCTGAAGCTTCTTCAAATGGCAAAATTTAGTCACTTTTTTTTCTCTGACCCTAGCTTAATAGGTGGCATCAAATTGCATCTGAGAGAATGTTTTAAAGTGAAGATAGCTTCATTGCTTCTACTTGGCTTTGGAAGTTGTATAGATCACTGACAAGCTACAAAGTAAAGGAAGTAGATGTCAGAAGAAAAGACAATGAATTCCTTTTTAGACATGTTAAATTCAAACTGTCTAGGGAGAGTCATGCTAGTGATGCCTGGCAAGAAGGTAGAAAAACAGATCTAAAGAATGTTTCTCCCTGCTTGTAGATCGACTACCAACTTCATATTGAGTATTCTAAATCTTTACCTTTAGCCCGTAATATTTTCTTGAACCATTTGTATGCTACATTCTCCATACAGGATTGGGAGAAATTGCTGGACTGAGTTAAAGTTGAACTGTAGTAGCATTTACAAGGAAAACAAAGAAGTAAGTGGGAAGGGAGCTTAGCATACTATTGAAAAAGTAGTTGTCATACTAGACCATGGAGCTTTATGGTAGAAACAGGATCAAGGGGAAGCTTTGCTTTTTATTCTATGTTCCAGGTATGACTGCCTTTGCCACCTTTTATCTATTCCTAATATTACTGCCATGGTTGAGGCCATCGTCCTCTCTAGCCTGGATTGTGTCCATTGATATCTATGTCAACAAATTCAACTGGTCTCAGTGCCACTATACAAATAGTTCCAAATGCATTCGGATTATGTTACTGTCCTGTTTAAAAGCCAGCATGTGGCCAGGTGCAGTGGCTCACGCCTGTAATCCCAGCACTTTGGGAGGCCAAGGAGGGTGAATCCCCTGAGGTCAGGAGCTCAAGACCAGCCTGGCCAACATGGTGAAACCCCATCTCTACTAAAAATACGAAAGTAAGCCAGGTGTGGTGGCACGTGCCTGTAATCCCAGCTACTTGGAAGGCTGAGACAGAAGAATCACTTGAACCTGGGAGGCAGAGGTTGCAGCGAGCTGAAACTGCACCCAGCCTGGGCAACACAGAGCGAGACTCCGTATCAAAAAAAAAAAAAAAAAAAAGCCAGCATGTGTCTCTGTTACGTCCCATATTAATGACACTTTAGCTCCACCTTTGCATGTATCTTTCCTTACCCTCTCCTTTACTCCCCCTGCTTCTTAGTCTTTCATATTTATGTATACAGTGGCATCAGAACACTGTCTCTGCTTCAAATGCCCTTCTTCTTTTGTCTGCCTTCTGCACTCCCATCAGTTTACAACAGATCCCACTTTAGCAAAGTTAATTTTTTTTTTTTTTACACTTTCTCAGTTCCAGAAGCATTGGTAAGTATCTGTATTACCCCATTCATTGCTCTGTGTGGCCATTATTTTTAACAGGATAGCAAAAAAGACCAAATTATTGCTTTCTTCCAGCTACCTTGCTGAACCCTAATTTAAATAATAATCTTTAATCTTTGTAACACCATGAGTCAGGCACTACCATGTCCATTGTGCAGGTAAGGACACTAAGATTCCAAAAGATTAAGTAGCTTTACAAAAGTGCCACAAGTCCTATTTGACAATATGGAGGGCAGGACTCAGGCTTCCCAATGCCTTTCCAGGGTTCCCTTCTCGTGTTTCTTTCAAACTAAAGAGGAAGAGCACATTGAAGGCAGGAGATGCTTTTATTATCGTTAATGTTGTCAAGTATTTCCTGAAAGAAATTAATAGATTTTCAGTACTTCAGTAAATAATTTTTGGTTTATTCTAATCATTTAAGTAAAAGTGGTAGGGAAGAAAAAAATAAGTAGCTTATGTACATGTGTATGCATGTACAAGTACACACACAGAGACACACACACACACACACAATTGAAATTAAAAAAATAATTGAACCTAAAAAGGTTTACATAAACAATCTAATTAGACTGTTTGTTTTTAAAGTAATTAAAAAATAGAATGAAGACATTATCTCAGGAGATATACTTTATATGTAGGTATATTTGTTGGCAAGAACCACTGAGCACCTTCCATATAAAAAGAATGTACTTTGTGCAATCATAGAAAACAGAGAAGAGTGTTGTTTTTTACAGAGTTGAGAGTCTAGGTTTTAGAACATGTTTTCAGAATTTAAATTAAATGCCTGAATTCAATTATATTCAATTCAATTCAACTGCTGAATATTGTAAAGTGACTGTGTATAGACTTCCTGTATCTGTATCTGTACCATATCCATAACATATTGATTTATCTAAATCTTATTTCTACAATGATTAGTGCTCCCCATAATGTATACTATGTAACTATTTCTAATGAGAATTTTTTAATAGTATTAACAATGCACATGCATAAATAGGATGGTATTTAGAGAGACATATTTACATATAATAGTATTAACAATGTACATGCATAAATAGGGTGGTTTTTGGAAAGACTGTTAGTAGAATCCAACTTATTAAGTTTGATAAAGAATAAATCAATAGTTACTTAATGACTCAAGAGTACATGGGAATTGTTTTTTGAGGATGGACTAGGCAAACATTTATGTAAGTATCTGAATAAAATGGAGTAGGGTTTATAAATGTATTCAGTAGTATCTGCAGTAATTCTTAATCTTGGTTGATGGCTAAGATAACTAGCAGCTTGAGCTGCTATCACAAAATATCACAGACCGGATGATTTAAACAGCAAAAATTTACATTCTCACAGTTCTGCAAGTTGGAGATCAGGATGCCAGCATGGTTGGGTTCTGATATGAGACCTCTTCCTGGCTTGTAGATGGCTGCCTGGCTGTGTGCTGTGTGTTCCCATGGCACAGGGAGAGAGAGCAAGCTCTCTGGTGTCTCTATTTTCAAGGCTTATCATGAGGGCTCCATTCTCATGACCACATCTAATTCTAATTGCCTCCCAAAGGCCTCATCTCCAAATACCATCACATTAGGATTAGAGCTTCAACATAGACATTTGAGGTAGGGGACACAAATATTCAGTCCACAAGCAATTCCTGATCTGCCGTGGGAAGAAGCTTGCACAAGCCTCCATTACTGATATACTTCAATATATTTAGACACACTGTTTTCTTCCCCTTACTCTCAGTGATAAATATATCAAAATGATCAGATCATAGATATATGTTTAGTTGTCAAAATTTATATTCTTATGTTTATTGTCATGTTTCCTTCATCACCACTATTGATGGATAAATTAATTAAAATAAATATTCCTATTAATTAAGTGAAAATAATTCCCCTATACCAGTTACAAAATTTATAATCACTTCAGTATTGTTTCTATAACACCTGGACTATAAATCATGTAAGGATCTTTGTATCCTTTATAGATACCTAGCCATAATCCTGGTAATCATCAGGCTTTTTGGTTTCATTTTTTATTTATCTGTCTTATTAAAACTATACTTTGCTTTCTTCCATCTTATTTACAAGTGAGTTTCTTTTTCAAGGCATCATTTTGCTACTTCTATAGACAGCTTTTCCCAATATGATGTGCCGTTGGCCTTCCATTCATTGCCTGGTCTATAAATAACAAGTTGCTTAATATGGTCTCTGAAGATATCTTCTCTATTTCACTTTTTTATAATTTATTATATGCCCATAAAATACTTCCCTGGAGTACCCAACTCAAAACTCCTGCCAATGCATCTTCCATGATCATCAGAGGTGATGTAAATAGAAAACACAATAACCTGATTGATTATGTAAACTGAAATATTATAGTCACCTCAAATTTATCATGTCCAAAATGAAATTGATGATCTTCCAGACCCACACCTCCTTTATCTCCAGTGCTCCCTATCTCATTTCACAGGATAGAAAATGGAGAATAATGATTGATGCATCTTTCTTGCTTACTCACCACCACCACCACCCATTCACCAAGTCTTTGCTGATTCAACCTCCTGAGTATCTTTTGAGTCTGTTCATTTTTTCCTGTTCCACTTTTTTTCCTGTTCCAATGACATGTCCTTTTCTAATTCACATTAACTATTGCGATAACTTTTTAACCAATTTCTCCATAGTCACTTTTGCTTCTCAATAATTTATTTTCCACAACATGTACTTCACTCATTTATACAAAATGCCTGTGACAAGCCACCATGGTGGAGAAGCTGGAGCCAGACTGCACGGTTTGAGATCAAGCTCTGTCACTTACCTGCCTCATAATCATTGGCAAGCGGCTTTACCTCTTAATGCCTCAATTTGCCCCCCTAACAGTGGAAGTAATAATAATTCATCAACAGAGTTGTTGTAAAGAAAAATTAACACTGAGTGGAAACACTTAGCATGGTTCCTGAGTATATTCAATTCCCGATACATATTAGCTAGCATTATTTCATGGAGTCCATGTGTTTGGATTTAAAGCCAACATATAGAAAGCTCTAGGCTAGGACATGTAGTTTAGCAAGCTGGGCAGGATGGCTCCTCCTTCCCCCGGGATGATTGGGACCCAAGGCATTCCTGGACTCTTGAACCAAGCTGTTCTAGACTTACCCAGAAGGCCTCAGCTGTCATAGGTAATAGATTAGACAGTGTATGCCCACTGGCTTCTCTTAAAAATGACCCTTCTCTGCCAGCCTCAAGTCCACATGGTCCTGTGCCCCCAGGGTGACACTCAGCCACTTCTAACCAGCTTCTAATACCTCTTGGCCTGCTTGAGATTAGCCCGACAGCTCTCATGCACTAAACAGTATGAGTTTCTGATAGAATAGGTAGACTGCTGTCTTTTGATTGAGAGCAGTAGATACAGTGGTATTTGTTAGCTTGCTCAAGATTGATCCTCAACTGGTTAGATTCCCAGGAAAAGTGTAGGCCTTTAGTAATGCCCCACGGGAAAATACTAATGACCTTGGGTTTAACACAATCAATCTTGGCCAAACCTCAAGCACACCAGACCCCATAATGCCAGAGGAGAGGTTCAGGCTTCTCCCATCATAAATAACCACAAAGCAAACACTTTCGCTGGCTGGCCAGATCACGTACCTGTGCCAAAAAGGTTGGTTCCCAGTGTCTTATGCCAAAGGAGGCGGGTTCTATGCCTGACCTCTAATCCTGGGCTGCTGGGATAGTTAGGCAAATAAGGTATTAATATTTGCGTTGTAGTTTTTCAGTAGATAATTTTCTGTGTACAATATTTTTAGACAATATGTAACAACAAGCATTCCCTTCCCACAAACAAGTCTTATACTCTTATATTATCCATATGCTAATGTTCCTATGAAGAAATATACATAAAGGAAATGCAAAGGGAAGTAAAAACAAGAACATGTGGTAAATTTTTATAAAATCCCTTATTCTCATCTTACTAACTGGTAAGTGAAGTGACTACATAGGTAATCTGTATTCTTTTCCTTTTAGGATAACTGATCTAGGATTACTCTTTAATTGGTTGTACTCCTTTAACATGTATTTGTTTTACTTCCACAAAGACAAGAGTATCCATTTCCATAGAGGAGTGTTTTCAACTCTACTTCCACATTACAATCAACCGGGAAGATTTTGAAATGCATTGATGTCTCTGCCTTACTCTCAGAGATTCTGAATTAATTTGTCTGGGGCAGGGTGAGGGCAAAGGTACTTTTTATATTGGTCCTTATGTGGTTCCACTGTGCAAAAAAAGGATTGAGAATTGCTTCACAGAGTTTGGGACTCCTGGGGTGAAATGTGAGCACATTTAATTACCATTTTTCATTATAGCAAATATTGAAAGCTTCTATGTCCTTTCATATTATGAGTATTATGTATCCAGAAAAAGATATGTAAGAGCTTCAGTAGTATAAAATGCAAAATAATTTTGTGTCCTCAGGATGAAATAGCTTGGTGAGATTGTAGCTTTCAATGGAGCTACATTTTTTAATTAGATGAAGACTATTTTATTTAATATGATCACCTTAATGTCTTCTAAAGAATCACTATTTGTGTTAAAGCAGTTCAAAAGTTCAAGAAGACTTACTAGAATCTGGGACAGAGAAAATAAATACACATCTAAAGCTAAAAGCCAGCAAAATTGACACAATTCCATAGTACACAATGCAAAGAAAAGGAGTAGACAGAAAAAGCTTTCTAGCATCTTTTAAATGACACCATTGACAGAGAAATGTTTCATATCTGAATTTTTTGAGGAGAGTGAATTTATTTTAATGTGGCAGTTCTACTTTTGAATTGAAGAAAAAAGTACCCTTTTTATACCATTATCATTTGGCTTTGGAGAGGCAGTGCTAAAATTTGATAAATTTTAGCTTTCAAATCTGAACATCTAACTTTGGCACAAAAAGCAAAGCATGAGCATGCAGTACTGGCATTAGAGCACACAAAGCCCCAATTCTGGTGCCAACAGCAAGAGCACATTTCAAGTCCTATCCTGGAAGCTGGCACATAATTTCATAAATTCATTGCCCTCCATCTGTGTATTGTTGCTCAGCTCCCCACTCAAGCAATAGGTAGAGCCTCAATGACACAGATGATGTTCTACGTTCTCCTGTAATTTATGACTCTTTGAATTTTCAGAACAAAGTCCATATTCAGTAAGGACCTATCAGAGTTTGCTTTCTTTTTCTCATTATGCTTGACTTTTTCTTTTATCTTGGGACTCAGCTTTCACTTAGAGTTGGAAATAAATCTTTTTCTTCTTCTTCTTCTCAGCTTGCCCTTGACTGCTATGGAAACCAAAAAAAGAGCTTTAGAAATCCCGGAAAATTGATTTTTTTTTTCCCTTGGATAGAGGCTGGGAGAGTTTACTGAAGGTCTTTTAAACTCTAATGTAGGCTTAAATGTCTGAAAAGGAAAGAAAATGTGTGCTCCATTGAATTGAATCCAAATTGTTTTAGCTGTTATACACAGGAAATAAGAAAAAAAAGAGCAAGAAGCTGACAACATTTGTCTCTCAAGTGTCATTATAAATATCCTACACTAATTGCAACCTGCAAAAAGAAACAAATGAAATTCAGAAAGACACAAGATGTGATCTCAATTAAAAGGAAAAGGACAATTCACTTGACATCTTTCCAATTCACAGGTAAATTTTTGCCCTTTTCTCAGAAAATGCTCGCTTTCAAAGTCAAGCACCAGCTTTTTCATTTATTTCACCTACTATGAAATGTTACGAAGTCATTTTTCTGATGGTTAATACCACCGCAGTTGTTCCCATATTCCACTATGAAAAAGAGTTCAGTTTAGAGAAATTATTTGGGAAATATGAATAATTTAAGGAAATGCTTGTTTCTGTTTTGAAAATATCATGTCCAGTGGCCATGAGCCAACATTCTCTGCCTTGCATATTTTACAGAAAGCTTCTTGTACTGTTTGCCTATCTGCTTAATAAACCACGTGGTCATCACTGATTTGAAAATAATTTGTTGTTAGAATCAAGATAAATAAGCACACAGCAGCATTTTATAAAAATGAAGTAACTTTTTAACATAAAATTTCCATTTTTTCCTTCAACTTTTATTTTAAGTTCTGGGGTACACGTGTAGGGTGTGCAGGTTTGTTACACAGGTAAACATGTGCTACGGTGGTTTGCTGCACAGATCAACCCATCACCCAGGAATTAAGCCCAGCGTCAATTAGCTATTCTTCCTGATGTTGTCTAAAATTTCCATTTTTATTAATATCTTTTATTTCTAGAGATATATAGGCTTCAAAGTTTCCTTTAGTAATTACTACCATCTCTTTTAAAAATAAGAGATAAAAATTTTATTTTCAGATACATTAGATAATAGTCATCACCATCATCATTACTATAGTCATCACCATCATTACTATCCTTATCACCATCATTACTATCCTTGTCACCGTCATCATTATTATCCTTATCACTGTCATCATTACTATCCTCATCACCATCATCATATATAACAAGTCATATGACTAATTGATTTGTCATATGATATCATATGACTAATTGATTTATGTTTGTTAGCACGTTTAAGTCTTATATGCTAGAGTTATTCTACAGTTGTTATTATCACTTTAGAGAATAGATAACTGAAACTCAGGGAAATGATACTAGCTGGTAGCAGTGCTGAGGCTTTTTGTCTAGTGTTTTTTGACCGTTACCCATAGCCTTACTCCTAGATGTGACTATAAAATAATTGAAGGATTATTCACTCACTTACTAAAGATCTACTAGGTGCTGCCCTATATTGAGTATAGAGTATTGAAAAGACACAGGTGAAATTTATGTGCAGTAAGCCATTGCTATGACAGATACAGGAGAGAATGCCATACTTAGATATTTATTTTCTAAAGATCATTCTGGCAACTTTGTGGAGAACATTTTGAGAGGGCTATGAGAGAAGAAAGTGTTACTAGTTAGAAGACTGTGGCAGCTGGGCACAGTGGCTCGCGCCTGTAATCCCAGCACTGTGGAAGGCTGAGGCAGGAGGATCATGAGGTCAGGAGTTCGAGACTAGCCTGGCCAACATGATGAAACCCCATGTCTACTAAAAATATGAAAAATAGCTGGGTGTGGTGGCAGGCATCTGTAATCCCAGCTACTCAGGAGGCTCAGGCAGGATAATCGTTTGAACCTGGGAAGTGGAGGTTGCAGTGAGCTGAGATCGCACCATTGCACTCCACCCTGGGCGACAGGGCGAGACTCTGTCTCAAAAAAAAAAAGACTGTGGCATCAGTCCAGCCAATGTATCATAGTTGTCAACATGAAAGTGAAAGAAGTAGTGATTAGAAGCATTGGCACTCTGGAGAGGGGAAGAGGGAGGAAAATTTTTTGAAAGGTATAGAAGTGGTATAGGGAGGGGGAGGGTTGGTGAGGATAAAGGAATCCAGAATAATTACTAGGATCTTCCTTGAGCAACTGTTCAGTGGTTAGAAGAATTTATAGTCTGAAGACTAGAGGTAGATTATGGATCAACAGTTCTCTATTGGATGAGTTTCATATAATCTATACATTTTTCCTTGTAGAGATGTCAATTAAATTGCTTAAGTGAACATGGAAATCAGACAATCGGCAATGCCTTGACGCATTGTTCTGCAGAATATGGAACAATGGGAGACTTTCTTTGGATTTGGCAAGATGGAACATGACAAGAGTATGCTTTAAGAAGCAGTGGGTGGAGAATCTTGATCAGAGTAGCACATTTGTGACCGAGATTCAAGAGAATGGAGACTAGTAAGAGTTATTTCTAGAAATGTGCCTGCAATGGGAAGCAAAGAAAGAAAAAAAGTAACTAAAGGATGTCGGGAGTATATCTTGTTTCTTTTAAGATGGGAGACATAAGAACGTTCACATGCTAATGAAAGCAGGTTCAGTAGAGCGGGAGAGATAGTGCAGCACATGGAAAGTTCCTAAAGGAGAAGGGCCCTTGAGAACAAGACGGGTGATGGGATTCAGAAGACTGACTCCACACAGGGCTTGTGACACAAGGAGAAATTCTACCTCCTGAGTAAGAGAAGAACAATGCAGGGAGAGGTGCAGAAGCATGTAAGTTTGAGGCTTTGGCGATATGAGCATGAGGAAAGCTTCTATTTTGTCAACAGATAGCATTTAATAACCAATCTTCCTTAAGCCTTGCCATGTCCCAGGCATGTTCTCATGCTCTTTCCATGCCTTATCCACTTAATGAGGAAGGTGATATTGATAACTTCCTTGCATTGGTGAAGAAACAGGCACCGAAAAGATACATTTTTTTTGTAAGATGAACGAAATGGGTATCAGCTGAAGCTCTGTAACTTTAGTTTACGCTTTTAAGCATTAAGCTGCTGGACCTCCTGAAAACACGTGAAATACAGCTGAGTGGAGAGACCAAAGAGAGAGATTACTATATTTTTAAATTGCTATAATATTTTAGTTGTACATATTTTAGAGATAGGTTTAATATTTGATACATGTATACAATGTGTAATTAATTGTAATTAGGATAGATATCATCTCAAACATTTATCTTTTTTGTCTTAAAAACATTAAAATTCTTCTCTTCCAGCTGTTTTGAAAATGCAATAAATTATTTTTAACAATAACTTCTCCACTGCACTACTTAATACTAGATCTTATCCTTTCTATTTCACTGTATTTCTGCACTCATTAAGCAACTTAAGAGCTAGATCTTTAAGTGGTAGAAAGAGATTAAAAAAATAAACGAAATTATCATGTATGTGATTTGGAAATCAAGTTTACTGGAAAACAGCAAGAATTTTAATTGAAATCAGTTAATAGTTAATTTAGTTGTATGATTATTACATCCACACACACATACCTACATATATATATAACATATTTTTCCAACAGGGAGATATTATTTGTAAGCATGATAGCAAACATTAGTTGATCTCCACCTATTTTACAATATATGACTGAGAAATTGTACAGGTTTTCCTCATATTGGATGATTTTTATTGATTTTTAGTGTTATCCACCAATGTTCAAGCAAGTCATCAGTTTGGATATTTTTTATTTTTTTTTCCCTTGGATATTTTGTCTGAAATTAAATCTAGATTCTATCATCTGGATATCTCTACGTCTAAGAGATTTGGGGAAAGAAACTTTACATCTTAAGGATGTTTTCTCAAAATGGGTTATTAATGGAATTTCATTACTTGGCTACTGTGAGGCTTCAATGACAGACATTAATGACAGGAACAAATGCCCATATTGTTATTGTTGATATTATAATAAGACATCTATTTTTCTTCCTGCATCAATTTTGCCACTCTCCAATCCATTTTGCTCACCTTAGTCAAAGTTATATTTTACAAATTCACACTGATTATATCTCTCCGATGCCTAAAACAATTTAGTAGCTTCCCATTGCTCTAAAAATAGAAACTGAAATACAATTGCCTCTCAGACTCTACATCAGAGTATGACCTATGTCACAGACCCTAACTCTGTGCCTTAGTTTTCACAGCAATCTTTCTTAAGTCCCTAGATGCTTCAGTTTCCTTTCTACCCCAGGGCCTTTGCACATTCTGTTCCCTCAGTTTGGAATGTTTTAAAAATTCCCAGACCCCAGCTCTCACACCCATCACTGTACCAAGATTTCTAGTCCAATCTTTGGATGACTTATACCTGTTTATTCTTATCTTCTCATATTAAATGTCATTCTATTTAACAAGCATTCTCTGTGCCCCAGAGTAAGGTGTTGTTTTACTTGGCTTATGAAATCTCAGCACCTCATCTTTTGTAAATTTCAGCATTACTTACATTGGTTTTCAAAGCATTAAAGAATTAATTGTAGTCTCTCCTGAAAAATAAATATAAATAAATAAATAAATAAATAAATACACAAGCACAATTAGGCCAAGAACTATGCCTACCTGATTGTGCTTTGCATCTAGTAGAGTCTCAATAAATTAATCATAAGTGAATGAGTAAATATAGACATTTAAGGCTAACACACTCAAAATCTGTTTGAACATTTCATTTATGCTATTATTGACAATCTGTACAATTTCTTTGAAAGCATCTAAACATCCCTATGTATATACCAAAAAGAGATTGGGATCTCTAAGAAACACTTTTATAAAATTCAGTTTAAACCAGATAAAGTACATGTATATAAGTGATTACTGAATTTGAGACATTTACAAAATATGATGGAAAACATAATATTTAAGAAACAAGGACAGAACATAACCCTACTCATGTTATTATCATAATCCTGGCAATACACAGTCATTGAATGCTCTCCCTGGGCCAAATGGTGTGCACAAGGATACCAAACCTAGAAAGGCCAAGTTCCCGTGTTATTCTGCTGATAAATTACAAGGAATGGGTTAAAAGCCAGGTATGTCTGATTTAGTAATCTGTTCCCCAACCACTACACCCAACTACCTCAACTCAGGCTCAATTCTACAGATACCGGCAGAAGAGAGAAAGCAAAGTCAATGTTGAATGAGATTATTCAGACTTATCTATTGAGAAAGAAATTATTTCAGATGGCTTTGAAAAGGAGGTAAAAATGTATTGAGTGAATAAAACAGTCAGAATGCAGTGAAGCAAGTAATTATTAATGTGGGCCTCTCACTATCAAAGGTAGTTAGGTCTCTACAGTAAGAGTTCTGGAGCAGCACAGATTTGAGACATCTTGGGGTTTGAATTTAATCTAAGGAATTCCCTAGTGTTTTACAAAATATTGTAAAGGCTGAAACATTTCTCTTATTTTACAGTAGAATCACTGAAGACACTTCTGAGTTTTCAGCTTCTTTCCCGGCATATTTTAGACCAATTCAATATAAACCAGGCTTTTCAGAACCAAGAATCATCAATTCAGATCTGCTAAGTTGAACAAATAAAACTTCAGGGAAAGAGGGGATTCAATGAAGAATTTAACTTTGAATGTTCTTTCACAAATAATTGTAATAATTCCAACAATAATGACAATAATGACAATGAAAATTAATATAAAAATATATCCAAAGCAAAACTGATGGCAATGTGTTAAACTGAGATAAGAATCAAATTTATTTAAACACAAATTATTGTACCACATTAAATGTCAAAATGGAGTAAACTTAGTAAGTAGGGTTATCTATTGATAACCCTAGTAACAATATAAATGTACTTTTCTTGGCATTAGCCTGGCACACTTGCAATGTGGCTTGTGAAAATGAAGCATTTATTTTTAAATATTGTTTAGTTACATTAATTTTAAATATTTATATGAGGCTTGTGACTCTTATTGGGCAGTGCATGTCAAATGTCTCACTTTGTAATATCATTAATTACCTAAGGAGATGTCATTTATATCCTGACCCCCTCTCTTAGCTTTTCTAAATTTCTTTTGTCTCAGTTATTCCTTATAAGCCAACACATTTCTTTTAATATGTGCTTTATAAAACTCATTTAACCATTCTCTTTCAAAGTTCCCAAACCTGAATGCTGGGGACAATGATACCTATTATTAAATCTGAATTCAATTACTTCATAAGAGATTGTAAGAATTGATCATATGATGTTTGGAAAGCAGAATTGGGATGAAACATGTAATAGAACTGACAACTGATAGCAGTAAGTTAAAAGATTTCCATGCATCTATTACTCTCTTAAACAAGTATCACGTAGAAAGTGGTGGTGGGGGGCAGGGAAGTTTGTGACACTATAGACACTACAATAACAACAACAAGCAACAGTTTATTAAAGAGTTCCCCAGTGCTTTAATCTACATATGTGCATAAATATTCTTTATAAATAGAGTCACCTGGCCTCCATTAGAGACTGCGCCTTTGCATCAACTTCCTGAGGTGTGACTGTCAATTCATTTTTTTTAGGGCAAATAACTCCTTTGTTTGTTTGTTCCACAGAGCATAATTTTCCCTCTGCTGGATACAAATTAATTGTGCTCAATTTTTATCTATGTATTGTTTCTTTCTCTGTCTAGTGTGTCTAGATGATTTAAGGTTTCATAGGAGACACACTCCAAGAGAAGTATTCTGCATTGAGATTCAAGTACTCACTCGGGACTGGGAAGAAAAATTACCTGTGCTGGCTTTAGTATAGTGTGGAAATATCTATCAACATCTATAACTATATTCACAAAAAAGCTAGTAAATTTGACATTAATTTATTCAATCTACAGATACTGCCTAAATATCCACTGAGACTGGGCAACGTGGTATGTTGTAGGTATAAAACACTGAATAAAGCTGGCACTGACTTACAATAAAATCTAACGGATCAAACAGTAAGCAATTTAAAAAGAAACAATTTTTTTTTTTTTTTTTTTTGAGACGGAGTCTCCCTCTGTCACCCAGGCTGGAGTGCGGTGGCGCGATCTCGGCTCACTGCAGGCTCCGCCTCCCGGGTTCACGCCATTTTCCTGCCTCAGCCTCCCGAGTAGCTGGGACTACAGGCGCCCGCCACCTCGCCCAGCTAATTTTTTGTATTTTTAGTAGAGACGGGGTTTCGTTAGCCAGGATGGTCTCGATTTCCTGACCTCGTGATCTGCCCGCCTCGGCTTCCCAAAGTGCTGGGATTACAGGCGTGAGCCACCGCTCCCGGCCAAAAACGCAATAGGTTTTATTTCAGTTTGAGGAACTGGTTACTTTGGAGATGCCATTTTATGAAAGTGATCATATGTGTTTGCTTTCAATTGAATGATGTTGGGGTTTTGATTCTGCCATGCAAGTGTCTGCTTTCTTTAGGGGGGTGTGTTATTTGAATTTCTTTTTGCTTAATTAAAAAAAAAAAAAAAGGAAAGCAAAGAGAAAAGAAAAGACGCTTAACTCTTTGATGTTCCAAAACGGCCCATGCCTTGATGATGTTAGGAACATGCCATGATGTTCCTAAACGGTCTCCTTTAGTAGTTAGTTCAAATCATTGGCATTATTATGCTTAAAAGTTCAGGCAAGGCTGGGCGTGGTGGCTCACACATGTAATCCCAGCACTTTGGGAGGCCGAGGCGGGAGGATCTCCTGAGTTCAGGAATTTGAGACCATCCTGGCCAACATGGTGAAACCCCATCTCTACTAAAAGTACTAAAATTAGCCGGGCGTGGTGGCAGGTGGCTGTAGTCCCAGCTACTCAGGGGGCTGAGGCAGGAGAATTGCTTGAATCCGGGAGGCAAATGTTGCAGTGAGCCAAGATCACGCTACTGCACCCCAACCTGGGTGACAAGAATGAGACTCCGTCTCAAAAAAAAAAAAAAATATTAGGTCAGGCCATAGAGATAATGCCACAATGTCTGGCTCTTTCTGAAGCGGTCACTTCCCTCACTCGTGAAATAAAGCTTGGTGGATAAGAAAGTAGAAACTCCGTGTAAGGTTTCAATACCATTTTTCAACATTTGTCTGCCAATAGAATTTTGATGGTGTACTGAATAACAATAACTCAGAATTAAATGCTAAATATTTATATTTATTTCTATCATATACCATAATTCATGTATGTAAACCTGCAAATTAGTTATTTTGCTTGACTATTTTGTACAAACTAACATATTTGAGTATAAATCTCATTTCCAAAAAAATGAGAAAGAGATATTTGATTTTGTATTTTAGTTTCAAGAGAATCATCATTGTTTGAATTGCTTCAGAGTAATTCTTTTCTTAGTACAGAGACATCCCTTATACACTAGTTAATTGTAGGCTGTGAAAGTGAAAGTCATTTCTTTACCAAAGTGTCTCAAGTACTGTTATTCGAATCTAGAAATATTAAAACGTTAAATAAATGTCATCATTGAAATATTTAATACAAATAGGAACACAATGGTTGTTGAACACAGAGTAATTTTTGGAACCGTATTTGGTACTGAAGACAAGATGACGCATCTAGCAGTGAGTAAAATATGTTAATCATGACTTAGGAGATACCACAGCATCTAAATCATAATGTATATAATATCACATCCTTTATATATTTTGTAATTTATATGGGGGAAATTAAAATTAAAAATGAGTACAATTACTTTACAAAGCTATTCTGATTATTTCAACTGAAGAACACAGGTATTGATAAAGATGCTATGACTCAGAGGAGTTGACTAGTATTAACATTCCCAAAAGTTACCACCCTCCAATATTTTAACTTCTCAATTATGAATTTGCTCCTTTAATGGAGCAATTATGAATTTGCTCCTTTAATGGAACAATTATGAATTTGCTCCTTGAATTGATGGTATTGGTTGCAGGAAAGCTGGCTGTTGAAGTGTCATCTGATCATTTACATCAGAACGTGAGGTGTTTTTGAGAGAGAAAATTGTTTTGCCTATCTGTCTGCTTCATTGGCTTTTGCTACAGAAAGAGAATGCTCTTCTCAGTTAACGTCATTAACAGATGACCCTCGTTTCTTTCTTTCTTTTTCTTTTTTGAGACAGAGTCTCCCGCTGTCGTCCAAGCTGGAGTGCAGTGGTGCGCTCGGCTCCCTGAAAGCTCCGCCTCCCGGGTTCACGCCATTCTCCTGCCTCAGCCTCCCTAGTAGCTGGGACTACAGGCACCCACCACCACGCCCAGCTAATTTTTGGTATTTTTAGTAGAGACGGGGTTTCACCGTGTTAGCCAGGATGAGATAACCCTCTTTTCTTTGGGGCCAAACTCCTCAGAAGGAGGATGGAGGCAGTCCTGCGAGGGTCCAGCACTGGTCTAGGTGGACATCGTGCTGTTTAACATATTTTATCTTCGTTTCCTTTTTACACAGCAATCTCGTGAGTGCTGTATCACTATATTGATTTTACATATGAAAAAATTGATGTGTATAATGATAACTAATTTGTAGGAAACAATAAAAATTAACATCAGGATTTTAGTACAAGTATGTAATTCCAAAAGCATTTTGGTATTAATGATGCCAAACACCGGGTGCTAACGAGTCTGATTCTAAGGTATTCATTGCTGTTGAACTGAGTGGAAATCCTGCGACAATCATGAGTAGTTAGATTTTAGCATTAATTTGGGTCTTTGAGGGGAAATTACACTGTTCTCAATGCTTTGGGTCTTATTTAGCCTGAAGCTGTCCTAGTAAAAATTCAGTAACAAAGGGGTTGCAATAACTTTGCAATACACATAAAAACAATAAGAAAAGATATCTTACCTTAATTTTCCTACAGTATCCAGAAATATTGACCCACTAAGAACCTTCTGGAAAAGATTGCACATACTACAAGTTGGCTGAGTGGCAACAATGGTTCAGCAAATGGGCATGCTGTCTACACTCTATGTTTTATGGACATTCACCATTAACTGAATTCTGTTACCTTAGGGGTATTTTAATTTTGAATATACATTCAAAATTTTATTAGAAAATAATCTAATGTTAATGTCTTGAATAAAACACAAAGAGAAACCATAAAATATAAATCATTTTCAAATATAGGCTGATACCAACAACTTTATTAGTTTGCTTATATTATGTAGCTTTCTTTGACAATTGTCATGTATAGATTTCTTTTAATATTGCTAGATCTTATAAACATAGCCCTTACTTATTGCATAATAGAAGATATGTTGTAGAGCCATACTTAGGCCATTTTACATACAATCATACTTAACAGTGACAAATGCCAACTTCAGTTTCTCCTGAGCAGGTATCATATTGTCAGCCTCAAAAAATACAGTCACAACAGAATATTACGGCCACACTGAAAGCTGTTAAAACTTTTCTTTCTTATTTCAGGTACCTCTATACAGCTACCATATAGACACTGAACCATGAAACACACTAAATATATACTCAGTTAATTATATCTACATGAGTAGATATATTCAGTTAATATGTGATGAAAAATAAAAACATGATGAATGACATATATAAGTATATATTTAGAGAGATTATTTTAATGTATCCTTAAAATTACTTAAATGTCTGGATGTAGGATTTTATTTTGAAGGACAGATTCAGCATGTAGCCATTAAAGATCAGGCAATAAAAATATTAAAGTTGTACTGTGGATAGCATTTATTAAAGACAAATATGAAAAAAAAACATTAAATTATCTCTGACTCTTGAAGAATCAGTATGAGAAAAGGAGAGAGAAAAAGGTGTGAGCCAGCCAGCCCTAGGTTGTGACCCCAATCACTGAAGCAAAATTGGCCTTCTAGATAGACACTAAAAAAACCAACATAATATGGTGGTACAGTTGCAAAACGTTCCAATATCTGAATTCCATAAAGCATCATAAGTGTTTTATTGTTTTCGTTCAGAAAAAGATGGACTGTAGCTTCTAATGATTGATGGCTAAAGGCACAAAGTGGATATCTTTGCAAAATGAGGGATGAAATAGCACAAAGGAAATAGCTAGATCTAAAATGTAGCATCTATAAAAATATATTTGTCCATTTAATAGCATTTTGATGGATGGGTCAAAATTGTGTTAGAAATTCATCTTTGAACTTATTTGGCACCACAACTAAGTACTGCAAATTTGGGTTCAAATTTATTTTCAAGTATCTATAGTTATATGACTTAGGGAGGTATTTAAAGATCCTAAACTTCATTTCTCTCATTTATGAACTGAATTAATAATAAGTACCTCAATGGACTGTTTGACAGAAAATAACATTTGCTTTCTAAAAAATACTTCTTATGGTTGTAAAGATTCAAAATAATTTCATGTATCTTAATAGCTCATTATCTGTTGGATAGTAAAATGTTAATAAATGCCAACTCATTGTACTTAACCACGGTTTTTAGCACGTAATTTTGTTGTTATGCAGTGGCCTCATTTTTACCTAAAGCATGAAAACAAACTTAAGAGGAAAACTACAGCGAGTTAATTTTAGGCACACAACAGATAGGTATTAGTTAGGTGAGAAGTTAAGGTATTATTTTTGAAATATTTTTTCTTTCTTTGGTCTGTATGAAATTATTTTTGCTCCTTCACTCAACTTCTGGTGCTTAACACAAATCTATCTGCTTTCCAAGATGACAGAAATAAAGGCTTTTAAACAAAATTAAAAATGGAGTTAACAGATAATATTTCAAAAAGGAACAGGATTATACTGATTAACTATGGACAATTAGTCTACACCATCCAATATAAATTCTCTATAGCTTCATATTAATATGACCTGCTATGGGCTGAATTATGTAACCCCTAAATTTATATGTTGAAATCCTAATTCTCAGTACCTCAGAATATATTGTATTTGGAGACAGGACCTTTAAAGAGGTGAGTAAATTAAAGTGAGGTTCTTAGGGTGATCCCTAATCCAGCCTCACATCTGTAGGTGTAGGAAGAGGAGATTAGGATACACAGAGAAACACAGGCCATGAGCAGGCACAGAGAAAAGGCCATGTGAGAACACAGTGAGAAGGTGTCCATTTGCCCGCCAAGTAGAGAAGGCACAAAAGAAAAAATACCCGTCAGTATCTTGATTTTAATCTAGTCTAGTTTCAAGAACTGTGAGAAAATAAATGTATTTTGCTTAAGTCACACAGCCTGTGGTATGTTGTTATAGCAGTCCTAGTACAGTAATATATGACCCATACAAATGCTATCAAAAGGTTGGAGGAAGAGGTGGAGCCTCATGGGGAAGAAACTGTATGTGTCCTTGTTGGGAATGCAGTGATATTTTGGAGGGGGTGGGAGCAGAGGATAGAAAGATGGAAGGGTCATTGCATCAACCAATTTAAATTGTACCCCCACCTGCATGGTTGTCTCAAGGGGTCCCACTTTTAGCCTCCTCATCCACCTTACTATATATTTAACTTTTAAAATTTGTATTGTCTTCCTACCCCCTAAAACAAGGAAGGCATTGATTTTAACTTGCTTTTCTGTGTAATTTCCTTTTCAATGATGTGTGCTCAGTCTTAGAAAATGTCTGGGACTTAATAAAATCTCAAATAAATAAGTAAATAAAATAAATGAGAGTCTCCAGAGAGAAGAATATCTACAAGGGTGGCCCTGAGAGTCAAAAAACAATTGTGGGAGCTGTATAGGTTAGAGACCTCTTCCCGTTCAACAAAAGTAGGATCAATATTAACTAAAGGAGAATGGCTTGAGGTAAAGTTATTGTGCAAAATATTTTTACGGATTAGCTAGCAGAATGAAATTGTATCTTACTCTTTCTTGTGTTAATGATATATAAGGACATTTATACTATAAATATAATAATTAAAAATGAAAGATAATATGTAGAACAATTAAATTGTCAATTTAAAAAGTTATTACATTAATTTTTTGCCAGTCTATGTATTTTAATATTGAACACTAAGCTGTGCTAAAATAAAATATGTAGTATTTATGTTCACTAGTTCTCCAAAATTAATACAATTGAGAGAAAATATTGAACATGAAATTACTAGAGGTTAACCAAGTCATTAGCCAACATTAGCCAAATACCAGATAGAGCAGAATTATCTCTGGGCAATATAAAATTTCGAGAATATGTCATCAGAGAAGTGAGACAATACCTTCTGTAACTTCACAGCAGTGACAACTGGCATTTTTCTTAACATTTATTTATATAAATACTGAGACTTTACATTGGAAAAGATGAGGAGATCATGGAACATACCTATATAGGGGAGACTAGACATAGATTATGTATAATGAATGAATGGAAGGCTTTTTGTTTTTTTAACTGCAGAAGAGTGGTATAGAATCCTGGATAGTAACTGGCTAATTCATGGAAGACATTGGCTTTCACAGTGAAGGGCCAGAGTCACTGTAGCTGTTAGGTAATGGATGCCAATCATGGTGATGTCTTACAGAAACACCAATATGACAGCATTGTATGATCAATAGGAAGAGTTTCTATAGAAGGAAATGGGTAAGAAAATAAACATCTCTCACATAAAGATGAACAGGAGGAATGGAGCTTGAAGCTTAAGGGGTGCAATTAGGAACACCTAGTGACAGAAGCAATAAACGTGATGTCCCTGAATATTACAAAGAGGAAGCAATATAAACAGCCACTTCAAACAACACTGGCTTTACTCTGTTTTATAAATCCAACACCAGTTATGTGTGCATAACTATACTGTAGGCTAGGCTATATTGTAACTACAGTGTGGACTGTTTTTTTCTCCACAGCTATCAACACCTTAGTAAACTGTTTTCTTTCATTTCCCATGCTCCTACAAGTCATTCAATTCCTTCCCTACCTGTGCTATTGCAACAATTAATTTTTCATCCAAATAGGAACATCTCTATTAATAACCATACTGAGCCAGCAGGAGAATTCTACCCAAATTGTATTTGCCTTACCTGCCGCTTTTGACACAAACTATCTAAAAATCCCTTAAAAAAACTCTTGTTAAATGCAGAGATATTGTAATATTAGTGATATTTCTTTTTCTACATTTTAGCTGCATTAATTCTGCCATAGAATATAGCTAATATAAAGTAGCCTTGGGTTTTAAATATTGCGTTATGATAGAAAATATTGTATATCTTATCATAATTTTATGTTTTTATGTTCTGAGTTAGTATTAAGTCCACTTGGAGGACATAATGTTCAAACCAAAATTCTATCCAAATATAAGCCATTGAAGTACTTTAAAATTAAAGCTTGAGTATAATTTGTCACTGTCCATATGCTGGGAAAACATACTGAACATACATCAAAGAAATATTTTTTCCAGGAATAATTTTCAGAGCTTTCAAAAGCTGATAGAATCCTTGCTTCATTTGCAAATTGCTAAAGAGATCCTTTGGACTATTGAAATGCGGAATATCTAGCATTTGTTTTCTTTTTGGTTTGTTTTATTTGGTCTCAGTTTTCCAGATGCCTTTATTACCTGCAAGGATGGAGAATAATTTCTAGCTGATCAACTGGCATAAAATGCCTTGCTTAATTTACTATTGTATTGCAATGCTCTTTTGCGTGAATCTTTCATTTGCTGTTATACCAAAATGCCTTTTTGGATACATATTTTCTTAGAAACCAAAGAAAAGTGACAAGTTACTGAAAACAAGTTGACAAGCCATATAATTACAGAATATAATTTGTAATAAAACATAAACTTGTGAGCATAGTAATACGAAAATGTATAACTACTGTACAGAAAAGGGAAATGACTTTGCATGACTAGAGAAAGGATAATATCATTATCAACAAGACTATAATACAGGAATTGATATATAAGTGACAATATCACAACCAGACAAGAATGACTTATGAGAAAAGGGATCTAAAATTTAAATTCAAGTCAATAAAAATTTTAAATATCAATACTATCAAAGATAAATTATCTAACTTAAATATTTAGCAAGCAGTAAAGTTTTTAAAATTAAAAAAGTACAATAATATAGAGAATTTTCCCTCCTTTTTAAAAAGCTTACTTTGGCAAAAACACTTAACATGAGATCTACCTACTGTAATAACAATACAGTATTCTCAACCATAGGCAAAATGTTGCATGACAGACCTCTATAACTTATTCAGCTTGTATAGCTGAACATTTCTACCCAAGGAACAACTCATTTCCCCCCTTCTCACAGCGCCTGGAAACCAGCATTCTACTTTCCATTTTTGTGGTTTTGACAATTTAGATATCACATAAAAGTGAGATCATGCAGTGTTTATCCTGAGACTGACTTATTTCATCTAGTGTAATGTCAAAAGCCACCCATGTTGTCGCCTATAGCAGGATTTTCTTTTTTATAAGGCTAAATTGTATTCTGTTGGGCATATATACCACATTTTCTTTATCCACTCATCTGTTGTTGGATACTTAGGTTGATTTCATCTCGTGTCTTTGTGAATAATGCTAAAATGGACATGGAAGTGCAAATACCTCTTTGACATCCTAATTTCCATTCTTTTGAATACACCCATAAGTGGGATTGATGGATCATATGAAAGTTTTATTCTCAATTTTTTTGATAAGCTTCCATAGTGTTTTCCATACTAGCTATAATAACATTTTACATACCAACAACAGTGCACAGAATTCCAATTTCTCTGCATCCTTGCCAACACTTGTTTTCTTACACAGAGAACTATCAGAAGTTGCAGATATTTTAATATTATTTAATTCCTTGTTTGACTATATTAAGTAGTGTTATTTATTTATTTATTCATTTATTTTGAGTTGGAGTCTCACTCTGCCATCCAGGCTGGAGTGCAGTGGTGTGATCGCGGCTCGCTGCAACCTCCGCCTCCCGGGTTCTAGTGATTCTCCTGCCTCAGTCTCCAGAGCAACTAAGATCACGGGTGCCCACCACCATGCCCCGCTAATTTTTGTATTTTTAGTAGAGATGGGGTTTCGCCATGTTGGCCAGGCTGGTCTCGAGCTCCTGACCTCAAGTAATCTGCCCACTTTGGCCACCCAAAGTGCTGGGGTTACAGGTGTGAGCCACCACACCTGGCCTTGTTAGGTTTTCTTATATGTAATTTAATATCTACTCTTAAAAATTGTTTAGATTGCATTTAATCGAGAAATCCATAAAACACCAAAGCAGGATCACCTGTTATCAATAAAAACTAAATAATTCCCACAGATCAGTATGTTCTGGACAAACTCTTTAGAGAGAACGATTGCCAAGCACCCTTTTGAAAATCTCCAAGAATGTCCTTGGTGGCTCTGAGTAATTCTGATCTAATAGTTCTGAGCTCCAGTCCCCATCCCTCACTTCCAAAATATCTACATGAAACAATACCCAAAACCTTCATAACAAGCAAAATGAGAATCCTGTGACTTCTTCAGGCTAACCTAAAAGGCTCTCAGGAATCCTGATGCTAACTAGGATCTTGGGTGTCACAGAATTTGCAACCAAATGTGTTTCTAGTCTCTTCTTGATACAGATGGGAAAACGTTATGGCTCCCAGGCTTTTGTAAACTTTTGACTTACACACAATCACCTCATCAAACTAGTGATGTATGAAACATCAAGAGGGGGATATTTTAGATAAGTGGAGAAAAGAATGCTTTTTGATTTTCTCTTTCTCACTTTCTCTTTGATGTGTCTTTATACTATTTCCCATGGTATGAAATAGACTGCTATATAAACATTGCACAAATATACATCTAAATATAACTTTGTAGCAGAAATTGTAACTATATGAATATCCCATAAACAATCAATTTTCACTATTTATATTTTTAGTTAAATTTGTGTTTTACTTCTAATGATAAAGACATATTCTTATTTAAAATACAGAAACTATTACGAGGAACTTAACAAATCTCACTGAATTTCATAGGTGTAGTTGTTACACATAATTTAATAATCATTTACACATCTATGTATGTAATTATGAATCTATCATGTTCTGTTTATGAGAAGAGAGCTCCATCAGCACAAATAGTCTTGAACTTATTATTGCTTTTCATGCATTCATCCTCAAGGAAGGAAATGTCATTTAATCTCATTGGTGACTTGGAATGAACAACGTAGAGAGCATAGGTTGGTCTATGCTTCCCTCTTCTTTCTTGGAGCTAGCAGATCTGCACTGAGAATATTCTTTTAATTCTTCTCAGCCATGCTGTCCGTTTAAGCAGAATAATTTATTCCTACTAGAGAGTCTATTGCGATTTGCCACATAATTGGTAAATCTCTCCAAATTAGAGACTCTAAAATGTGAGCATGTCAGCTAGATTATAGGAATTAGCAACATTCTGTAATGGCATCTTTCTCAGAAATAAGCATGGTCTTTTGCATAGTCTTTTATCCACAATTTTGCCATATGTGTATCTTGCAATTGGCTTACAATCAGACTGGGAATGTATTTTTAGATCAGAGAAGCCATATAATAACATTACTAATATATCCACATACGCCCCTTACATATGAAAACCGAGGCATGCATAACTTAAATAATATGGCCAAGTATACAGCAGGAGTAAGTGCAAGAACTTGTATTCAACTTGTATTCCCCCTTTGTAGATAAAACCTACTTCACATAACCCATATCTTATATATGATATTCAATTTTTATAATAATTTGATATTATAACAATATTAGCTGAAAACTCATATGAGTCTTCTTTTCATTTTGATATTTTGTACATTGCTGAAAGCTACAGTTATCCCAATAATTATTTTACCTATAGAAAACACAAAATCCCCAAATTATGTTTATTTTGGGGCATGCCACTGTCATTGTCTTCTCTCTGTCTCTCTCTCCTCTATGTGTGTGGGTATGTGTGTATATATAATCAACCTTATTCATACATTATGTATTTTGGTATCTCAGAAGTTCTGCACCTCTTTTCCATGAGTTAGATACTTAATTGGTTTTGCCTTGAATCCTATAAACCAGGGGTCAGCAAACTATTTATATAAAGGACCCGAGAGTAAATATCTTCAGCTTTATGGGTCATGGTCTTATTTATAGCTACTCAAACTACTGCCATTGTAGGCAGCCATAGACATGTAAGAATGGATATAAAAGTTTATGGACATTTTCATGATATTGATTCTTCCTACCCATGAGCATGGAATATTCTTCCACTTGTTTGTATCCTTTATTTCATTGAGCAGTGGTTTGTAGTTCTCCTTGAAGAGGTCCTTCTTGTCCCTTGTAAGTTGGATTCCTAGGTATTTTATTCTCTTTGAAGCAACTGTGAATGGGAGTTCACTCATGATTTGGTTCTCTCTTTGTCTGTTATTTGTGTATAAGAATGCTTGCGATTTTTTGCACATTGATTTTTTATCCTGAGACTTTGTGAAGTTCCCTATCAGCTTAAGGAGATTTTGGGCTGAGACGATGGGGTTTTCTAGATATACAATCATGTCATCTGCAAACAGGGACAATTTGACTTCATCTTTTCCTAATTGAATACCCTTTATTTCTTTCTCCTGCCTGATTTCCCTGGCCAGAACTTCCAACACTATGTTGAATAGGAGTGGTGAGAGAGGGCATCCCTGTCTTGTGCCAGTTTTCAAAGGGAATGCTTCCAGTTTTTGCCCATTCAGTATGATATTGGCTGTGGGTTTCTCATAGATAGCTCTTATTATGCTGAGATACGTCCCATTGATACCTAATTTATTGAGAGTTTTTAGCATGAAGGTTGTTGAATTTTGTCAAAGACCTTTTCTGCACCTATTGAGATAATCACATGGTTTTTGTCATTGGTTCTGTTTATATGCTGGATTATGTTTATTGATTTGCGTATGTTGAACCAGCCTTGCATCCCAGGGATGAAGCCCACTTGATCATGGTGGATAAGCTTTTTGATGTGCTGCTGGATTCGGTTTGCCAGTATTTTATTGAGGATTTTTGCATCGATGTTCATCAGGGATATTGGTCTAAAATTCTCTTTTTTTGTTGTGTCTCTGCCAGGCTTTGGTATCAGGATGATGCTGGCCTCATAAAATGAGTTAGGGAGGATTCCCTCTTTTTCTGTTGATTGGAATAGTGTCAGAAGGAATGGCACCAGTTCCTCCTTGTACCTCTGGTAGAATTCGGCTGTGAATCCATCTGGTCCTAGACTTTTTTTGGTTGGTAAGCTATTAATTATTGCCTCAATTTCAGAACCTGTTATTGGTCTATTCAGAGATTCAACTTCTTCCTGGTTTAGTCTTGGGAGGGTGTATGTGTTGAGGAATTTATCCATTTCTTCTAGATTTTCTAGTTTATTTGCATAGAGGTGTTTATAGTATTTTCTGATGGTAGTTTGTATTTCTATGGGATCGGTGGTGATATCCCCTTTATCATTTTTTTATTGCGTCTGTTTGATGCTTCCCTCTTTTCTTCTTTATTAGTCTTGCTAGTGGTCTATCAATTTTGTTGATCTTTTCAAAAAACCAGCTCCTAGATTCCTTGATTTTTTGAAGGGTTTTTTGTGTCTCTATCTCCTTCAGTTCTGCTCTGATCTTAGTTATTTCATGCCTTCTGCTAGCTTTTGAATGTGTTTGCTCTTGCTTCTCTAGTTCTTTTAATTGTGATGTTAGGGTGTCTATTTTAGATCTTTCCTGCTTTCTCTTGTGGGCATTTAGTGCTATAAATTTCCCTGTACACACTGATTTGAATGTGTCCCAGAGATTCTGGTATGTTGTGTCTTTGTTTCCTTATTTCTGCCTTGATTTCGTTATGTACCCAGTAGTCATTCAGGAGCAGGTTGTTCAGTTTCCATGTATTTGAGCGGTTTTGAAGAGTGAGTTTCTTAATCCTGAGTTCTAGTTTGATTGCACTGTGGTCTGAGAGACAGTTTGTTATAATTTCTGTTTTTTCACATTTGCTGAGGAGTGCTTTACTTCCAACTATGTGGTCAATTTTGGAATAAGTGCAGTGTGGTGCTGAGAAGGATGTACATTCTGTTGACTTGGGGTGGAGAGATCTGTAGATGTCTATTAGGTCTGCTTGGTACAGAGCTGAGTTCAATTCCTGGATATCCTTGTTAACTTTCTGTCTCATGGATCTGTCTAATGTTGACAGTGGGGTGTTAAAGTCTCCCACTATTATTGTGTGGGCATCTAAGTCTCTTTCTAAGTCTCTAAGGACTTGCTTTATGAATCTGGGTGCTCCTCTATTGGGTGCATATATATTCAGGATAGTTAGCTCTTCTTGTTGAATTGATCCCTTTACCATTATGTAATGGCCTTCTTTGTCTCTTTTGATCTTTGTTGGCTTAAAGTCTGTTTTTTCAGAGACTAGTATTGCAACACCTGCCTTTTTTTGTTTTCCATTTGCTTGGTAGATCTTCCTCCATCCCTTTATTTTGAGCCTATGTGTGTCTCTGCACGTGAGATGGGTTTCCTGAATACAGCACACTGATGGTTCTTGACTCTTTATCCAATTTGCTGTCTGTGTCTTTAATTGGAGCATTTAGCCCAGAAAATGGCCATACTGCCCAAGGTAATTTATAGATTCAATGCCATCCCCATCAAGCTACCAATGACTTTCTTCACAGAATTGGGAAAAACTACTTTAAAGTTCATATGGAACCAAAAAAGAGCCCGCATCGCCAAGTCAATCCTAAGCCAAAAGAACAAAGCTGGAGGCATCACGCTACCTGACTTCAAACTATACTACAAGGTTACAGTAAACAAAACAGCATGGTACTGGTACCAAAACAGAGATATAGACCAATGGAAAAGAACAGAGCCCTCAGAAACAATGCTGCATATCTACAACTATCTGATCTTTGACAAAGCTGACAAAAACAAGAAATGGGGAAACAATTCCCTATTTAATAAATGGTGATGGGAAAACTGGCTAGCCATAGGTAGAAAGCTGAAACTGGATCCCTTCCTTACACCTTATACAAAAATTAATTCAAGATGGATTAAAGACTTACATGTTAGATCTAAAACCATAAAAACCCTAGAAGAAAACCTAGGCAATACCATTAAGGACATAGGCATAGGCAAGGACTTCATGTCTAAAACACCAAAAGCAATGGCAACAAAAGCCAAAACTGACAAATGGGATCTAATTAAACTAAAGAGTTTCTGCACAGCAAAAGAAACTACTATCAGAGTGAACAGGCAACCTACAGAATGGGAGAAAATTTTTGCAATCTACTCATCTGACAAAGGGCTAATATCCAGAATCCACAGTGAACTCAAACAAATTTACAAGAAAAAAACAAACGACTCCATCAAAAAGTAGGCAAAGGATATGAACAGACACTTCTCAAAGGAGAGATTTATGCAGCCAAAAGACACATGAAAAAATGCTCATCATCACTGGCCATCAAAGAAATGCAAATCAAAAACACAATGAGACACCATCTCACACCAGTTAGAATGGCGATCATTAAAAAGTCAGGAAACAACAGGTGCTGGAGAGGATGTGGAGAAATAGGAACACTTTTACACTGTTGGTGGGACTGTATACTAGTTCAATCATGTGTAAGACAGCATGGTGATTCCTCAGGGATCTAGAACTAGAAATACCATTTGACCCAGCCATCCCATTACTGGGTATATACCCAAAGGATTATAAATCATGCTGCTATAAAGACACATGCACACGTATGTTTATTGCGGCACTATTCACAATAGCAAAGGCTTGGAACTAACCCAAATGTCCATCAATGATAGACTGGATTAAGAAAATGTGGCACATATACACCGTGGAATACCATGCAGCCATAAAAAAGGATGAGTTCATGTCCTTTGTAGGGACATGAACGAAGCTGGAAACCATCATTCTCAGCAAACTATCACAAGGACAAAAAACCAAACACATGTTCTCACTCATAGGTGGGAATTGAACAATGAGAACACATGGACCCAGGAAGGGGAACGTCACACACTGGGGCCTGTTGTGGGGTGGGGGAAGAGGGGAGGGATAGCATTTGGAGATATACCTAATGCTAAATGATGAGTTACTGGGTTCAGCACACCAACATGGCACATATATACATATGTAACTAACCTGCACGTTATGCACATGTACCCTAAAACTTAAAGTATAATAAAAAAATAAAAAATTAAAAATAAAGTTTGTGGCAAGAACTGCCATAAACATGTATATAACATAAAGATATATATAACATAAACACATATATAAACATATATAACCTGCCTCACATATGATGAAGATACTCTTATATTGTAGGGTAGGTTTTAAATCATGATGGGGTGGTTAGGGTCATAAATCCTGCATCAGTAGACTCTGAACTTATTGCATGGTCTTTATCTAAAAATTAGGAATGCTAATAGTTGCTATATGATAGAATTTTTGTAAAGATAAAAATGAATCAATATAAATGAAATATTTAGCATATCTTAGACACATTAATGTGCTATATAAGTACATTCAGCTAAAATACCACTATAATCAATTATAATTATTATTATTCAGATTTCATGCTTAATATCTTATTCCTATGTTCTATTTACTAAGTATAATCAGCTGTGAGATTCTACTATTAAGTTTCACAGATTTATTTGCTTTTGATCAATCCACAGAGCTTTACATTACTTAAAATTTCATTGACATTGTTTGCAGACAAACAAATTTAAATACATCACGTTAATAATTTCACAATTTGGTCTCTGACATTGATGTGTAAAACCCAGAAATGCCCCGTTAGCTTTACTCTCCTTGTTCACAATAGAAACAAACTTGAATTTATAAATTTTCCATAAATTAGCCATTTTTTATACCCAATCTCCATTGAATAAGAAGTGGTATAATTTATAATGATTATTTTTTGAAGCTTTACAAGAATGCAGAACAGTATTAATTTTCACAGTTACAAAATGATTAATTTATTGTTATAGCATAAACAGCCAAAATATACTTAGTCTCTAAAGCAAAATACTATTAATATAAAATCTAAATGAACTTACATCCATTTATTTTTTGAAATTGCAATGGCAAAATTTATTGTAGATAAATGTAATACTTGTATTTATTTGTCAAAGTATTTTTAAAGAAAGATAAAATAATATCTGAGAGTAGAAAATAACACCATAATATGCAAAAGTTGTGTCATATTCACCATCTTATTTCACACACTTTCATATTACAACACAATGACAGTGAGAATGGTACCAAATAATTATTGAATTATTTATTATACAAGTTGAAAATTTGAAAAAGTTTTTAAAAATGTAAATATCACTTTTCAAAACAGGAAACTTTATGATTTAACAATGTCAAACAAGAGAAATTATAGAAAAAAACTATTCATTTTTATGTTTAAATGATTATATATGATTTCAGATAGATTATCTTTATCCAATGGTCCCTATCTCTTAACTTCCAATAATTTTATTTTTCTGAGGTATTTTACATGCTTGAGAACTCAATTCATATATATTTATAATTTCTAGCTAAAATTTTCTTATAACTCACTATTCAGTGCATAAATGAAGAGACAGTGAATATTATTTTCCCCTTCTTATAGATGAGAATGCTGCAAACTTGAAAAATTATGTAATATGCCCAAGGAGAACAAATGTTTTGTAGCTGATGAAGACGGGTCTGGAATATAGGTCTTTGAGTCTAATGCAGTGCTTTCAACTACTACCTATATTTCTTTTTAGAGAAAAATACAGTATATAGATTGTACTATTTCAAGGAAAAATTTACAATGATGACATATTTACTTATATGAATTAAAAATTGCTCCAATTGTAAGTCAGTGAACATACCTTATTTTGGTTCAGCACTTTTTTTATTTCAGGTTACACTGATCTCACATTCCATTTACAATAAAATTTATTGCAATATTTTGAGAAAAATGAAACTGAAACATATACTCACCATTGGATATGAGTATATGTTTCTTCAACAAATCCAGCAATAGGGGTATGATATTTAGTATTTCTATCATGATTATTATCCAGAATGATATTCATACAATAAGGACTTACTGAAAAATCTTTGGAAACACATACACAAATATATGTGATATATATTAGATCTAACGGTATATGAGGTGGCATAGGTGTCTTACTATATTATGCTAATATAATCAAGAAACTGAATAAACAAGTTTGTGAATGTCATAGGATAAAGATAGTGTGGCTTAGTAGTGTTTGATGGCTATCATAATCTATATGCTCCCAAGATGCAATGCTTTTTCAGTGGGGACATTTGATAAGCCTCACTTTTGCTCAATGATTTATTTATACACATTTGTATCACATTTTAGAAGCATATATATACATTCAAAAGGTGTTCCCTGTGACATAGAATATGTTAATGAAAGGGTTTTGTTGTTGTTATTTTTTAAATAACTAAAAGGCGTTCTCACTGCTGGTATAGACGAACATTTGTGTGCCTTTCTTCTTGTCAACTCATTTCAACTCACCAACTTCCTGATGCAGTAACTAAGTTGATTATAATAATAAGTAACTCAGCAGTTAAATCTGAAGATCTACAATACAGTGTTAAGGTTTACAACTACACTATCTCTGTTTGCTAATGATATGATGGTATGCCTAGAAAACCCTAATGACTCTTCCAAAAGACTCCTAGATTTGATAAATGAATTCAGTAAAGTCTCAGGTTACAAAATCAATGTACACAAATCAGTAGCATTGCTATACACCAACAACAATCAAGCTGAGAATCAAATCAAGAACTCAATCTCTTTTACAACAGCTGCAAAAAATACAATACAATACAATACAAAACAATACAATACAATTCAACACCTAGGAATACCTCTAACCAAGGAGGTAAAAGATCTCTACAAGGAGAACTATGAAACACTGCTGAAAGAAATCATAGATGACACAAACAAATGAAAATACATCTCAGTCAGGCTCATGGACTTCATAATTCAATATCATGACAATGACCATACTGCCCAAAGCAGATAACAGATTCAATGAAATTCCCGTCAAATTAACAACATCATTTTTACAAAGAATTAGAGAAAATAATCCTAAAATTATATGGAATCCCAAAAGTACCTGAATAGCCAAAACAATCCCAAGCAAAAAAAGTACAAATCTGAAGAAATCACATAACCCAACTCAAATTATACTACAAGGCTATACTAACAAAACAGCATGGTGTTGATATAAAAGTAGATACACACACCAGTGGAAGAGAATATAGAATCCCCCCCAAAAAACAAATAGTTACAACCAATTTGTCTTCACCAAAGCATGCAAAAACATATACTGGGAAAAGGACACACTATTCCATAAATGATTCTGGAAAAACTGGATAGTCACATGTAGAAGAACGAATCCTGCAGAGGAATAAATTTTGTGTATGGAGTTCTATCTCTTACCATATATACAAATAAACTTAAGATGAATTAAATACTTTAAGATCTGAAACCATTAACATTTTAGAAGAAAATCTAGGAAAACCTCTTCTGGGCGTTGGTCTAGGCAAATAATTTATAACTAACAAATAGCCCAAAAGCAAATTCAACAAAAACAAAAGTAAATACATGGGACCTAATTAAACTAGAAAGCTTCTGCATAGCGGAGAAATAGTCATCAGAGTGAACATATAACCCAAAGAATGGGAGAAAATATTTGCAAACTATGCATTCAGCAAAGACCTCACATCCAGAATCCACAAATAACTCAAACATATCAGCAAGAAATAAACAAATAATCCTATGAAAAAGTGGGCAAATGATATGAATAGAAATTTCTCAAAAGAAGACATACAAATGGCCAACAAACATATGAAAAAATGCTCAACATTACTAATCATGAGGAAAATGGAAATTAAAACCACAATAAGATACCACCTTACCCCAGGCAGGATGGCAAGTATTAAAAATTAAAAAAATAAAAATAAATAAATATAGGCATGGATGTGGTGAAAAGGGAACACTTATACATGGCTGTTAGGAATGTAAATTAGTACAGCATTTGTGGAAAACAGTATGGAGATTTCTCAAAGAACTAAAAGTTGATCTATTATTCAATACAGAAATTCTATGACTGGGTATCTACCCAAAGGAAAATAAGTCATTATAGCCAAAAGTCATCTGCATGCATATGTTTATTGCAGCAAAATTCACAAGTACAAAAACATGCAACCAACGTAAGTGGCCATTAACTGATGAGTGGATAAAGAAAATATGGCACATATACACCACTGAATACTACTCATCCCTAAAACAGCATGAAATAATACCTTTTGCAGCAATTTGAATGGAGCTGGAAGCTATTATTCTAAGTGAAGCAGCTCAGGGGTGAAAAACCAAATACCACGTGTTCCCACTTATTAAGTGGGAACTAACCTATGGGTACTCAAAGGCCTGCAGAGTGGTGTAATGGACACTGGAGACTCAGAAATAGAGAGGGTAGGAAGTAGGAATAAGAAACTCCATATTGGGTACATTGTAGACTACTCAAGTGATGGGTGCACTAAAATTAGATTTTACCACGATACAATTTATCCATGTAACCAACAATAACTTGTACCTCTAAAGCTACTGATGGAAATAAAATTAAAATACAAATCAAAATTAAATATCTTTTATTACATCAAAGTTATAATGTCCCAAAACCCTTGGAATCTCTGGAGTAATAGGAGTGTCTTTTGTATGTTAATGAGATGACTGGTGGCTGGGGATCTCTACTAATTAGCTTCAAAGTGTGAGCTGCTTGCCAGGGAAATCAACCATATGATTAGAGCATTGGAATTTTCAGGCCCACCCCTTCCACTTCCAGTGAGGGCAGAAAGGCTGAAGGCTTAGAAACCCAAAAGGACTGGGTTCAGGGAGCTTCCAGATCGCTGAGGATGTGGAGGCTCCTGGAGAGTGGCAAGCTTAGAGAGGGCATGGAAGCACTGTGCTCATCCCTACATGCCTCGCCTTATGCATCTCTTTCATCTTGGCGTTCACCTGTATTCCTTGTAATATACTTCTTGATAAATAGTTACATATAAATAAGGCGTTTTCCTAAGTTCTGTGAGCCACTCCAGCAAATTAATTGAACCAAAGCAGGAAGTTATGGAAACTTTAATTCACTGAAGGTCATTCAGAAGTACAGGTCACAACCTGGGACTTGTGATTGGCATCTATAGTGGGAGACAGTTTAGTGGGACTGAGTCCTTAGTCTTGGTATCTGACAACTGCAGGCTGAAGGTATCAGAATTGAATTTAATTAGAGGACACCCAGCTGGTATCTGCTGGAGATGTGCTTGGTATGAGGGAAAATAACCCCACACATCTAGTGTCAGAAGTGTTGTGTTGAGTGGTATTCAAATTTTTTCTTTTCTCTCTTAAATATGTGTTGTTTCACTTTTGTTTATAAAGCAAAAAAAAAAATCACTTTCCACATATAATTTTTATTTCCTAGTAAAGGTCTTAATGATAACTGCTTATCATTAAGCATAATGAAGCTACTACTTACAAAAATAAATCATAATAAATGCTGATTAATGTAAAGATAATCTATAAATGTAATTAATTAATATAATTGAATTTAAATTTGCAGCAAAATCAATGAATCGGGCAAATAATTTTATTCACAAACATTAGATTGGATAAAATCTAATGAATTGATTTATTTTATGCATTTGTTAAACATCATTTAGATGCACTAAATTTTCTATTAAAATCAAAACTGAATGTAAAACCATCATTCACAATTTCAAACTTGAGTGTAATTTTTCTTGCTTTCCATTTACTATGATATCACATTATAGATTTATGATTAATTTGAATTAAAATATGTTTTGAAACACTTAGATTTATTTGTTTCTAACCTGCTAGTAAGTTTCCAAATAAAATTATTTGCCCTTATTAAAATGCTGCATGTACTATCGGAATTAAAAAGTTATCCAATATCTATGTGTGTGAGGTTGCCTATGCTTCTATAGCTGGGCACCAGTCAATAACAAATATGTTCTTAGCCCCAACTCAGCAAGTTTAGATTATTTTTCAGCCTTAAAAATAGAAAAGAAAAAGACTCAACTCACATAACTAGAAGAACATTTATTAGTCCACACATGTTTTTTGTTTTTGTTTTTGTTTTTTGTGGTGTTTGTTTGTTTTCAAATGGAGTCTTGCTCTGTTGCTCAAGGTGGAGTGCAGTGGTACGATCTTGGCTCACGGCAACATCCGCCTCCTGGGTTCAAGCAATTCTCCTGCCTCAGCCTCCCGAGTAGCTGGGATTACAGGTGCGCACCACCACGCCCGGCTAATTTTTTGTATTTTTAGTAGAGACGGGGTTTTGCCACGCTGGCCGGGCTGGCCTAGAACTCCTGGCCTCAAGTGATCCACTCCCCTTTGCCTCCCAAAGTGCCAGGATTACAGGCATGAGACACCGTGCCCGGCCAGGATTTTTTTGACTATAGAGTATTAATTTTTTAACAAAATTACTAGCCTAGGAACTGTCCAAAAGATAATTTTCAGAAATTAATTTAATTCTTATAAACGTCTAGTCCTGGAGAGTTTAAATGAAGCAACTTAGGAGACTGTTTACCAGTAGTCTCTTCATGTCAATGATCATGTACTTTTTAGACTACCGCTGTCAGACAGAAAGATAATACAAAGCCACATTTGTAACGTTATATTTTCTAGTAAGCATGCTGTGAGAGTAAAATGGGTGAAATTAATTGTGCTACAATATTTTATTTTAATTATATCCTAAATGATATCATTTCAACATGTAACCAACATAAAAAACTATTAATGTGATAGCTCACATTCTCTTTTTCATAGTAAGTCTTAAAAATCTGTGCACATTTTACGTTGATAGCACATTTCAATTTGAACACATTTTCAACAAAGTGAAATGTAATCTTAGCAAAAAAATTACAGTTGTGTTTAACAGAAAATTACATTACTTTAAAGCTCATGAATTAAAATTTAAATTAATTTAAATTGAATAAAGTTAAAATTTCACTTCCTCAGTTGCACTAGCTACATTTTAGCTGTTCAATTGACTCATGTGCTTATAGGCTACCACACCATA
Source organism: Homo sapiens (assembly GCF_000001405.40). Classification (NCBI taxonomy): domain Eukaryota; kingdom Metazoa; phylum Chordata; class Mammalia; order Primates; family Hominidae; genus Homo; species Homo sapiens. The sequence continues at coordinate 20,398,071 of NC_000005.10, forward strand.
CCTTATGGTTCTAAACCAAGTAAGAGACCAGACAAATCTGAGTCTATTTCATGAATAATTCATCATTTTAAATAAAATACACTCCTAAATATACAATATTTCCCTCAGTTTATTAAGTGTGTGGTATTTTAAATTATTATGTTTTCTAAAATGTTACTCTCAAAATGTTATAGTCACTGTGAACCTGAATGATAAGCTTGTAACAGCATAGCCTTTCATTTTTTTCTTAAAATGTATACAGATGAATACTTGCCATTTTTGAAGTGACTAGTTTCATTATCACTAAATTAATTTAGTTTAAATTTTATTGATATATTTTTCAGTGATTCAACCTATAAAATGGTCACATTCATTGAACAAGAGAGCAAAATTTTAATACTGTTCTGTATTAAGGAGCAGAGAACATAACCAAGGGCTTCACTTTGTATAAAAAGATGAGTGGATTCTCGAAGAGAAAAGCATGGAAGCTGGCATCAAAAGCAATGAAACGTCCTAATGCGGGGCTTAAAACCTAGATGATGGCAAACCACCATGGCACATGTATACCTATGTAAAAAACCACCACAGCACACATATACCTATGTAAAAAACCACCACGGCACACATATACCTATGTAAAAAACCACCACGGCACACGTATAACCATGTAAAAAACCACCACGGCACACGTATACCTACATAAAAAACCACCAGGGCACACGTATACCTACGTAGAAAACCACCACGGCACACGTATACCTACGTAGAAAACCACCACGGCACACGTATACCTACGTAGAAAACCACCACGGCACACGTATACCTACGTAGAAAACCACCACGGCACACGTATACCTACGTAGAAAACCACCACGGCACACGTATACCTACATAGAAAACCACCATGGCACATGTATACCCACGTAGAAAACCACCATGGCACATGTATACCCATGTAACAAACCTGCACGTTCAGCACATGTATCCCAAAACTTAAAGTAAAATTAAAAAGAAAAAAAGCAATGAAATGAACCATGGAAAGTCTGATCACGGCATCTCGGTTTCACCCAAACAACACATCCATCTGATTTGAATTGTGTGCTTGAAGTAAGAACTAATGCAAAGATCAGGGAAACAGAATATTAGAAATGAAATAAGTGAATGGTAAAGTGTTTCTGTTTACTCTTCTATCATTGTTTTTTCTAAATTCAATATAAATTATTATCAAAAGAGACAATAGTGATGATAAAATATGAAATTAATTTATGTCCACATAACAAAAAGGAATGTGAGGGAGAGAGAAGTTGGAAACAACAATATAAGAGGAATAAGAATGAATTCCTAGAGGAAGTAATGAAAATTGATTACTTCAGCCTGAGGTAGAATTAATATAAATGTGAATGAATTCATGCAGACACACTACTTTTAGGAGATGAAGTTACACTGAACAAAGCATTATTATGTGATGTGAGAAAAACTTGAATTCGATATTACTTAACACAGTCACTGAAAAGCCACTCCATCTTTCTGAATCTGAATTTCATCTTTTATAAAATGGAGTTAATTGATTTTAGAGATATTAAGAGTATAAATAATATCCTAGCATTCAGACATTCAATAAATATTAGGTTTGTTTATAATGTTAAGATATACTGTAGTAACAATAGTAGCTGTGAATAAATAAGCCCTTACACACATTTTTAATTATAGGCTTACTCAGTATCTTTGAATCCTTTCAAATAGCTCATCAGAGTGAAATTATTATCTTCTTTGAGACATGGAAATCTGCCTCCAGAAATATCAAGTAACAAGCAAAATTACCTCACCAGTATGCTGAAGAGCAGGAGCTCAAACAGGGGTAATCCAGAAACCCTGCTCTGAAACACCCTCCGAGCTATAAGACAGTGTACACTCTTACTTTATATATCATCAGAAATGTTTAACTTCATATTTTAATTATCAAATCCTCCTACCTGTGGCCTACAATGTATTTATCATAGAAAACCTGCTGTGTGGTATCTGGACAAAACAGGGTATTGGTGGTCACCATGTTTGATAATATAATAATATCGACTCATCTACATGTTTGTATAGATCAATACAGAAAGCTCTGACTCTGCTTTATCAACTACATTTATGAAATATCCTAATCCTGTAGTTGTCATTTTAAGAATGTTCACAGACCCTTTGGGAGCTGAGACGGGTGGATCATGAGGTCAGGAATTTGAGACCAGCTTGGCCAACATGGTAAAAACTCATCTCTACTAAAAATACAAAAATTACCCAGGCGTGGTGTCAGGCACCTGTAATACCCACTACTCAGAAGGCTCAGGTGGGAGAATTGCTTGAAGCCAGGAGACGGAGGTTGCAGTGAGCCGAGATTGTTCCACTGCACCCCAGGCTGGGCAACAGAGCAAGGCTTCATCTCAAAATAAATAAATAAATAAATAAATACATAAAAAGAATGTTCACAGACCAAAGCAGGTGGATCACTTGAGGCCGGGAGATTGAGACCAGCCTGGCCAACATGCCATGTCTACTAAAAATACAAAAAAAAAAACCAGCGAGGTGTGGTGGTGGCACACGCCTGTAATCCCAGCTGCTCAGGAGGCTGAGGCACGATAATTGTTTGAACCCAAGAGGCGGAGGTTGCAGTGAACAGAGATGGTGCCACTGCACTCCAGACCCTGCACTTCCCTACAAACCTATGTTTTCATCAAAAGCCAAGTAATCAAACAAATAAAATAAGTAAAATAAGTAATAAGTAAATAAGTAAACAAATAAACCTAATAAATAAAAACCAACCAACCAAATCCCTTATACTGAAACTTATAATTTTATCCCTTGCACTGAAATTCAGAAATGTTTTCCCTCTTTTCATTCATAGTGCCCATTCAGACACCACACCTTACTTATTCTTTACTCATACTGACTTTTGAGTTATGTACTTCTTGAATTATTTATGTTCCCTGAAGAAATGCTATGGTAAAATTCTGAGAAAAAGAAATGGGATAAATTATATTGAGATGTGTCTTCAACATTTTTCCAGTGTTTTTGAATTGCACAGTGTTTATTTAGCACAATGTCAATTATAACAACTGTCTTGAAATAATATTCCCGATGTTGATAAAAAGACCAGATTTGTAAGCTAAATATTTTGTGGAATTTCTAATTTCGAATATATTTATACTTATGCTTAAGTAGTCGAAATAATGAAACTATGATTAATGAGGTGCATATCATGTATGTATTACATGCATTTCTCATGTAACTCTATAGATTTATAAGATACGTGTATTAATTACAGTCAAGGAATGTAAAGTTTATAGAATTTGAGAAAATGGTTAAAAAGTATACAAATGTTGAGTTTCCAACTTTTACCTTACATCAAATCCTATGCTTTCTACATACGGTAGCATAAATTGTTAAATAGGTCTCTGTGTCTTTCTCCTGAACATGGTTTCTGAATCTTTATATACCAAGTGATAAACCTGTATTTCCTCACCTTCAAAACCACATTCCTCTTTTCTTCTTTCTCACATAAAGAAACCACACACTTATATACTTAGTTGATCAAATTATAAAATAGAAAATGTCTTGTTTTCTTTTCGTCTTTCCCCACACAATCCTTCAGCATGTTCTGATGAACCCACTAGCAAAATCTCCATATTACTTTCTTATTTCTTCACTGCTAAGAAACTAGACCAAATTATCATCATTCATCAATTGGAGTATTCCATTTCCATAACTGGTTTTGATGTTTCCAGTAATTAACTACAACATTAATTTGTTCATATTGACCAGAGTGTTATTTAAAATTATAAATTATGTCATATTAATCCCTTGCTTGAAATTCATTTGTGTCATTTCATTGTACTAAAAGTGAAATGCCCAAAACTTCCTTTGATCTTCTAAGCCTTCTTATCTGGCTTTGCTTACTTTCCCATCTTCATCTAGCATGGCTCTTTTTATCAACTCACTCTATTCTCACAAGCTTTCTGTTCCTAGAATGTACCAAGCCTTACTTCACAAAATTTGTACTTTCTTTTCATATGCCTAGAAGATTTTTTTCCCTCATCTCTTTTGTGCAGGCTCTTTTTCAACGTTCAGCTCTCTACATGTAACCTACTCAGAAAGGATTTGGTAGTCTGATGTTTTTAAACAAATTATTCTAGCATACCACATTCTTACTTCCAGAATGTCTCTCAATCTGAGATGAACTCTGTGTATTTGGTCATTGCCTGCTTACTCTACTGGATAGAATATAAAATCTAGATTCACTTCATCATGCCTGACTTTGGAAAAAGGCCTGACATCATAGGCCCTGTACCAATGCTTGTGAAATATGTGTCTAGAAGGTACATTTAGTGAGAGAATAAGAATCATTTTTTGTTTGTACAGGAAAAAAATGTACGCAAGGACATCTTAGAGATATCACAGATTCGGTTTCAGATCACCACAGTAAAGTGAAGATAGAAATAAATTGGGTCACATATTTTTTATTGGTTTCCCAGTGCATTAAAAAGCTATCTTTAAATTATAGTCTCTTCAGTGTACAATAATATTGTCTAAAAACGTGGATATCTTAACTTAAAATATTGCTGAAAATTATGATTATATGAACCTTCAGCAAGTAACAATCTTTTCGCTGCAAAGGGCCTTGCCTTGATGTTGATAGCTGCTGACTTATCAGGGTGCTGCTTGTTGAAGTTTGGGGGTGGCTGTGCAGTTTCTTAAAATACCCACTACTCGGGAGGCTGAGGCAGGAGAATTGCTTGAACCCGTGAGGCGGAGGTTGCAGTGAGCTGAGATTGCACCACTGCACCCCAGGCTGGGTAACAGAGCAAGCCTTCATCTTGAAAAAAAACAATAAATAAATAAAAAGAATGTTCACAGACCAAAGCAGGTGGATCACTTGAGGCCAGGAGATTGAGACCAGCCTGGCCAACATGCCATGTCTACTAAAAATACAAAAAAAAAAAAAATAGCGAGGTGTGGTGGCACACACTTGTAATCCCAGCTACTTGGGAGGCTGAGGCATGGTAATTGTTTGAACCCAAGAGGCAGAGGTTGAACCCATAAGAAACAACTCCTCACCTATTTGTTTTACTAATGTTCTTTCTTAAAGGCATCAAGAATGGTAAATTATTTCTAGAAGGTTTTCAATTTACATTGTCCAGCTCCATCAGAGGAATCACTATCTTTGGTAGCTATAGCCTTAATTTTTTTTTTCTCCAACTGTTAGTGTAGGTTCAGAGTGTGCATGTGCAGGTTTGTTACTTATGTAAAGTGTGTGTCACTGGAGTTTGGTGTACAAATGATCCTGTCACCCAGATCGTGAGCACAGTATCTGAGGGTTGAAAAGCAAGATGTATTTTTTGAATAATAAAAAATTGAAAGTTGAAATTACTCTGATCCATAGGCTGAAGAATAGATGTTGTGTCAATAGACATGAAAACAACATTAATCTACTTGTACATTTCAGTCAGGGTTTTGGGGGTTTATCAGGTGTATTGTCACTGAGAAGTAATATTTTGAAAGAAATCTTTTTGTTTTCTGTGCAGTAGTTCTCAACAATGGGCTCAAAATATTTATTAAACCATGCTGTAAAAAATGTTTCTGTCATCCAGGCTTTGTTGTTCCATTTATAGAACACAGGCAGAGTAGATTTAGCAAAATTCTAAACTGGCCTTGGAATTTTCAGAATGGCAAGTGACCATTGGCTTCATCTTAAAGCCACCAGCTGCATTAGCTCCTAAAGTGAGAGTCGGCCTGTTCTTCAAAGCTTTAAAAACCAGGCATTTACTTCTCTCTACATGAAAGTTTTAGATGGCATGATGGAAGCTTCTTCCAATATAAGACGGTTTCCCTACATTGATAATCTGTTGTTTTGTGTAACCATTTTCATCAAAGATCTTAGCTGAATCTTCTGGATAACTTGTTGCAGCTTCTACATCAGCACTTGCTGCTTCACTTTGCGTATCTCCATTATGGAGACGGCTTCTTTCCTCAAACCTAGTGAACCAACTTCCACTAGCTTCCAACTTTTCTTCTGCTGCTTTCTCACCTCTCTCAGTCTTCATAGAGTTGAAGAGCGTTTAAATCCTTGCTCTGGAATGGGCTTTGGCTTAAGCAAATGTTGTGGCTTGTTTGATCTTCTAAGCAGACCAGTAAAACTTTCTTCATATCAGCAATACAGCTATTTTGCTTTCTTATCATTGGTGTGTTCACTGCAGTAGCACTTTTTATTTTCCTTCAAGAACTTTTGCTTTGCATCCACAACCTGGCTTACTCTTTGATGCAAAAGGCCTAGCTTTGGGTCTGTCTTGTCCTTTGGCATGCCTTTTTCACCAAGCTTAATCATTTCCAGCTTGCAATTTAAAGACAGGTATGGAATTCTTCCTTTCACTTGAACACTTAGAGGCCATTACACAATTTTTTTAAGCCTAATTTTAATATTACTGTGTCTCAGGGCATAAGGAGGCCTGATGAGAGGGAGAGAGATAGGGGAATGGCTGGTTCTTAGAGCACCCATAACACACACAGGATTTATTGATAGAGTTCATCATTTTATAAGGGCACCCCAAAAAAATTACAATAGTAACATGAAAGACCAGGGATCACAGATCACCACAACATGCACAATAATAGTGACAAAGTTTGAAATACTGGGAGAATTGCCAAACGTGATATGGAGATATGAAGTGAGCACATGCTATTGAAAAAATGACGTGAGTTGACTTACTCCATGCAGGGTTGCTATAAACCTTACATTTGTAAAAGAGCAATATATGTGAAGCGCAATAAAGTAAAATCACAATAAATAGTACAGGTATGACTGCACCCACTGGCACAAACCTACAGAAGTCCTGCTGCACACGGAAGTATATATTGTAATCATTACACTCAAGGCTGCTACTATTTTACTTGATATTTCCAAATAGATGAACAGATTTATAAATAAATTATGTTAATTTATTAAGTTCATCCCCATCAAGCTACCAATGACTTTCTTCACAGAATTGGGAAAAAATTAGTTTAAAGTTCATATGGAACCAAAAAAGAGCCCACATTGCCAAGTCAATCCTAAGCCAAAAGAACAAAGCTGGAGGCATCACGCTACCCCACTTCAAACTATACTACAAGGCTACAGTAACCAAAACAGCATGGTACTGGTATCAAAACAGAGATATAGACCAATGGAACAGAACAGAGCCTTCAGAAATAATGCCACACATCTACAACTATCTGATCTTTGACAAACCTGACAAAAACAAGAAATGGGGAGAGGATTCCCTATTTAATAAATGGTGCTGGGAAAACTGGCTAGCCATAGGTAGAAAGCTGAAACTGGACCCCTTCCTTACACCTTATACAAAAATTAATTCAAGATGGATTAAAAACTTAAATGTTAGACCTAAAACCATAAAAACCTGAGAAGAAAACCTAGGCAATACCATTCAGGACATAGGGATGGGCAAGGACTTCATGTCTAAAACACCAAAAGCAATGGCAACAAAAGCCAAAATTGACAAATGGGATCTAAGTAAACTAAAGAGCTTCTGCACAGCAAAAGAAACTACCATCAGAGTGAACAGGCAACCTACAGAATGGGAGAAAATTTTTGCAATCTACTCATCTGACAAAGGGCTAATATCCAGAATCTACAAAGAACTCAAACAAATTTACAAGAAAATAAAACCCCATCAAAAAGTGGGTGAAGGATATGAATAGACACTTCTGAAAAGAAGACATTTATGCAGCCAAAAGACACATGAAAAAATGCTCATCATCACTGGTCATCAGAGAAATGCAAATCAAAACCATAATGAGATACCATCTCACACCAGTTAGAATGGCGATCATTAAAAAGTCAGGAAACAACAGGTGCTGGAGAGGATGTGAAGAAATAGGAACACTTTTACACTGTTGGTGGGACTGTAAACGAGTTCAACCATTGTGGAAGTCAGTGTGGCGATTCCTCAGGGATCTAGAACTAGAAACATCATTTGACCCAGCCATCCCATTACTGGGTATATACCCAAAGGACTATAAATCATGCTGCTATAAAGACACATGCACACATATGTTTATTGCAGCACTATTGACAATAGCAAAGACTTGGAACCAACCCAAATGTCCAACAATGATAGACTGGATTAAGAAAATGTGGCACATATACACCACGGAATACTATGCAGCCATAAAAAAGGATGAGTTCATGTCCTTTGTCGGGACATGGATGAAGCTGGAAACCATCATTCTCAGCAAACTATCGCAAAGACAAAAAACCAAACACCGCATGTTCTCACTCATAGGTGGGAATTGAACAATCAGAACACCTGGACACAGGAAGGGGACCATCACACCCCGGGGCCTGTTGTGGGGGAGGGGGGAGGGATAGCATTAGGAAATATACCTAATGTAAATGACGAGTTAATGGGTGCAGCACACCAACATGGCACATGTATACATATGTAATGAACCTGTACGTTGTGCACATGTACCCTAAAACTTAAAGTATAATAAAAAAAAAAGTCCTGTAGAAAATGAAAAACAATAATAAATGGCTATTAAAAAATAGAAACTATCAAGAATTGAATAACATTTAAAAGGGAGCACTATTAATGTTATGTAGACATGTGCTGATTTATCTTAAGAATGATTAAATTTTAGAGGATTCTTTGGTGCAGAAGGAAGATAGTAGAATAGGGAACCCCAAGCTCTTCTTCCCATAGACACACCAATTCAACAATAATGCAAGTATAAGTTCCTTTTGTTAGAAATACATAAACTAGTCAAAAGGCTTTGGCATGCTTCGTTAGCCACATTAAAACTGGTAGGAAAATTGGAAGCAATATCTCAGTATAATCCTATCCGTGGTGCAGCATTATATAATAAGGAGGAAACTTCTAGCTGTCAACCTCTTCCTAGGAAAAGAGCTAGACCATGGGTCAAATATTCCAACTTATCCAGGGGCTATTCAAGGAATTTGCTTCAGTCTTGCCTGTCTTGAAGCAATGATGAGATCCCATATACACTAGACCCCCAGGTATTTAAAAGAACAATATAGTAGTCTAAACTGGCACAGACACTTGCCACAGCTATCTGGCTAACTGCAGAGCAAGTAGGTGAAAAATCAAGCTTTCATTTTTTCCCAGGGGAGGGAAAGATTTGGACCACACAACCAATGTTTCAACTTCTCAGAATGATGTGAGAATGATTGGCTTCTGCCTCATCTATCACAGAGAACTAAAGAGACTTGGCATACTCTAGACACCTAGGGGCCACTAAGAAAAAAGACAGTGGTTTAGGGTAGCACAAAGGTTTTAGAGAACCCCCAGAATCTCCGGCTGGGTTGGTTGGTGATGATTTTCTCCTAATTGAAGTCAATCCATGAAGATTGGTAGAGGTGATAGATTTTTCTAATGCATATACACCAATGAGGAAAAAAAAAAAAACTCGTAGAAGTTCTCAACAGAATCTCAGGGAAAAAATGAACTAGCCACATAATAAAAAGGACCAAACCGAAATTTTAGTGAAAGAAGAAAGTAACCTCACTAAAACATTCAATAGAAGGATTCAGTAGCAGACTAGATTAAACAGAAGAATGTAACACTAGCTTAAATGCAGGTTGCTTTGAATATCACAGTCAGAAAAGAAAAAAAAATAATTTTTTTTTTTAAAAAACTTGAAGAAAACATAAGGCACTTATTGGACATCATCAAGGAGACAAATATACACATTAGAGTTCCAGAAGAAAAAGAGAGGAAAGGACAGAAAACTTATTCAAATTGATAATAGGTGAAAATTTCCCTAATCCCAATGAAGAAATGAACATCTAATTCAGAAATCCTAAAAGACTCTCTCTGCCTCAATAAGATAAAACCAAGGAAATCCACACTGTGGCACATCAATTAAAGTATCAATAGTCAAAGATAAGAAGATATATTTGAAAGCAACAAGAAAAAAGAGACTTATAACATACAAGGGAATCTCCATAACAATATCAGGTTACCTCTCAGTAGAAACTTTTTAGGCCAAAAGGGCCTGGGATAAATTACTGAAAGAAAAAAACTACCAGCCAAGAATCCCATAACCAGCAAAATTGTTCTTCAAAAATGAAGAGGGATAAAGACTTTCCCCGGTAAATAAAAAAAGGTGAGGGAGATCATCACCACTAGACTTACCTTACAGGAAATGTTAAATTGAAAACAATGCTCAAATTGAAACAAAAGTATGCCAAAGAGCAGCATGATAGCCTACCAAGTATAAAACTCATTGGTAGAGGTAAAAATATAGACAAATACAGAATAATGCATTTTTTTAATCTTGGGGGTAAATCCTTTCAATTCTATATAAGAGGTAAAATAAAAAGAGATAAAGTGTGACATCATTAACAAAGTTTTGAGGGAAGAAGTAAAATATAGAATTTGTATGCCATTGAAGTTAAGTTCTGATTAGTGCAAATAGACTGTTATTAGTGTGAGATATTTAAGTAAATCTTATGCCAACCATGAAGAAAATGCAAATATAAATTATACAAAAAAGAGAAAGAAATGAAAGCATATTAATACTAAATATAAAATAAAAATACAAAGCAAGACAGTATAAGAGGGGAAAAAAGTGCCTAAGAACTAAGAAGAACAGAAATTAATTCATGAGATGGGCATAGTAAATTCTTCCCTATCAATAACTACTTTAAATGTAAATGTGAAAGACACACCAATAAAACATATGGAACAGACCAATAAATAACAATATGATCCAACAATATGTTTTCTACAAGAGATTCTAGATTTAAATAAATAATGAGATGGAAAAAATATTTTACACAAATAGTAATTAAAACAAAGAAAGCTAGGAATACTTATCTCAGAAAAAAATTAGACTTTACGTTAAAAACAACTGCAAACTGCAAGAGACAAAGAAGGACATTACATAATGATAAAAGAATAAATTGACTAGGAAGTTATAACAATTATAGATATGTATGCCTCTAACATTAAAACATATAAATATATTAAAAATTTCACAAAATTGAAGGGAAGACAATAATTGTAGGTAACTACAATACCACACTTAAGGAAACATGATGTAAGCAACACTATAGAGCGAATGAACCTAACAGGCATATACAGAGCATTTTACCCCAAAGCAAAAGAACATAAATTCTTCTGAAGTGTACACGAAACATTCTTCAAGATACAGCAAATATTAGGCCACAAAACATGTCTTAACACATTTAATAAGATTGATATCAAGCTAATATTTTGACAACCACAGTGGGATAAAACTAGTTTGATACCAGAAGAAAATAGAAAAGTTCAAAAATATGTGTAAATTAAACAATATACATTTGAACAACCAGGAGGTCAAAAAAGAGATGATAATATAAATATGCAATTGCTTTGATAACAATTTTTTAAAAATCATGACATACCAAACCTTATGAGATGTTGTAAAAGCAGTACTAAGAGGAAAGTTTATATTGATAAATACCTACTTAATAAAATAAAGATCTTAAATAAACAACCTAACTTTACATCTCAACAAACAAGAAAAAGAACAAAGCCCAAAGTTAGCAGAAGAACATAATAAAGATTAGAGCAGAAATAAAGCCAATAGAGAATGTAAAACAGAAGAAACTCAACATCAAAACTGAGTTAATATTTTGAAAAAAAAGTTGACATATCCTTAGCTAGACTAACTAAGAATAAAAAAGAAAAGAGAAATAGAAACAGAAATTAAACAGGAGGCATTATGAATGATGTCACAGAAAAAGAAAGGATTATACAAATTACTATAAACACTTGTATGCTAAGAAACCAGGTAAACTAGAAGAAACATATAAATTACTGGAAATATACAACCTAGCTAGACTGAATTATGAAGAAATAGAAAATCTAAATGGATTTATAATAAGAAGATTAAGTCATTATTCAAAAAACTCTCAAAAAAGAAAAATCTATAGCAGATGGCATCACTGGTGAATTCTATAAAATATTTGGAGAAGAATTAATGCAAATCCTTCCTAAACTCTGCAAAAGAATTGAACAGGAGTAAACACTCATAAGCTAATTATATGAGGCCAGCATTAATCTGATACCAAAGCCAGACAAAAACACCACAAAAAGGAAAACTACAGACAATATACTAGAATTAATACACATACAAAAGTCTTCAACAAAGTGCTAGCAAACTGAAACAATAGCACATTAAAATGTCTCCATACCATGATTAAATGGGACTTATCTCTGGGATGTAAAGATGATTTATAAAACAAAAATTAATTAGTCTAATAGACTACATTAACGAAATAAAAACTTAAAATCTCATGATTACCTCATAGATGCAAATAAGCATTTGACAATAATGAGCACACTTTCATGATAAAAACTATCAAAAAACTAATAATAGAAGAAAAGTACCTCAATATAATAATGGCCATATCCTCTGCTATATTATAAAGAGCAGCAAAAAGGCCAAGAGTAACACATTCAAGGGTGAAAACTTGAAAGCTATTCTTCCAACATCAGAAACATGAGAAGGATGTCCATTCTTGGCACATTTATTTAACATAATCCTGTGAATCTCAGCAAGATCCATTGAACATAAAAAAGGAATAACAGGCATCCAAATTAGAAAAAAAATATATAAAATTTTCTTTGTAGGCAAATGCCATGATTTTATATGTAGAAACGTTAAAGTCTCCATTTAAAATAAAAAAGCTCTTTTCTTTTTTGGTTTCCATACACTAACAGCAAACTACGTGAAAAGGAAATTAGAAAATATCATTCACAATAGTATTAAAGGAATAAAATACTTAAGAATAAAGTTAACTAAAGAGGCAAAAATCTTATCCTGAAAACTAAAAACTACAGAACATTGATGAAAGAAATTAAAGATGACACAAACAAGTGAGACGATATCCCATATTTCTGGATTGTAATACTTAACATTGTTAAAATGTCTGCACTGTTTAAATCAATCTACAGATTTAATAAAATCTTTATGAAAGTCCCAATTAATTTTTTATAAAATATAGAAACAATTCTCAAATTCATATGGAAACACAAAGGACTCAAAACAGCAAATCTTAAGAACAAAAAACCCACAAAGCTAGAGATATCACACATCTTGGGCTCAAAATAATATTGCAATGATACAGTAAGTAAAACAGTGTGCTACTGGCATAAAAACCAACATATAGACCAATAAAACATGATAGCTCAGAAACAAATTCCCACACACGGTCAGCTGTTGTTGGACAAAAGTGCCTACAATACACAATAGGGAAAAGAGTATCTTCAACTAATTGTGTTAAGAAAACAGAATATTATATACACAAAAAAAAGTCTCTTAACTAACTGTAGTACACACAAAAATCAACAAAAATGGATTAAAGACTTAAATGTAAGAACTCAAAATGTAAAACTCTTAACAGAAAGCATAGAGGAAAAGCTTCATGACTTTGCTGTTGGCAACGAATCCATGGATTTCCTGCATAACACATAACAAAGGTATGAACAGCAAAATGATGGATAAACGGGACTACATGACACAAAGAAGCTTCTGCACAGGAAAATAAATAATCAACAAAGTGAAAAAAAAAACAGGCAAAGAATTGTTGAAAATGTTCACAAACTGTGTACCTGATAAGGAGTTAATTTCTATCCAAAACATATAAGGAATTCCTATAACTGAATAGTAAATGCAATCTCATTTACAATAGCCCCCTGCCCACAAAAAAATACCTAGGAATACATCTAACCAAGGAAGTGAAAAATTGCTACAAGGAGAACTACAAAACACTGCTGAAAAAAATCATAGAAGACATAAACAAATGGAAAATCATCCCTTGCTCATGGAATGAAAGGATCAATATCATTAAAATAGTCATACTGCTGAAAGCAATCTACAGATTCACTGCAATTTCTATCAAATTATCAACATCACTTTTCATAGAATTAGAAAAAGCAATCCTAAAATTAATATGGTATCAAAAAACAGCCTCAATAGACAAAGCGGTCCTAAGCAAAAATAGCAAAGCTGGAGGCATCACATTACAGACTTATAACTATACTACAATGTCATAGTAACCAAAACAACATGGGACCAGTACAACAATAGTCACATAGATCAATGGAACATAAACAAAGCCACACACCTACAACCAACGGATCTTTGACAAAATCTACAAAAATAAACAATAGGGAAAGGACATAGTGTTCAATAAACGATACTGGGAAAACTGGATAGCCATAAGCAGTGAAATAAACTGGGCACGTATCTCCTAACATAAACCAAAATTAACTCAAGATGGAATAAAGTCCTCAAACTATAAAAACTCTAGAATAAAACCTAGGAAAGACTCTTCTGGACATTGGCATAGGCAAATAATTTGTAACTAAAACCTCAAAGGCAAATGCAACAACAAAAAATTTGACAAACAGGACTTAATTAAAGCAAAGAGCTTCTGCATAACAAGAGAAACAGTGCAAACTGGCAACCTACAGAATGGAAGAAATATTTGATAACTATGCATCCAACAAAGAACCCATGCCTAGAATCTAGAAGGAACTAAAACAAAACAACAACAAAAAATTGTATTAAAAACTGGGCAAAGGACACGAACACGTCTCAAAAGAAGACGTACACACCAACAAACTTATTAAAAAATGCTCAACATCACTAACCATCAGAGAAATTCAAATTAAAGCCACAATGAGATACCATCTCACATCAGTCAAATTGGCTATTATTCTTTTTTTAAAATTATACTTTAAGTTCTAGGGTACATGTGCACAACATGCAGGTTTGTCACATATGTATACATGTGCATGTTGGTTTGCTGCACCCATTAACTTGTCATTTACATTAGGTATTTCTCCTAATGCTATCCCTCCCCAATCCCCGCACCCCACGACAGGCCCCGGTGTGTGATGCTCCCGCCCTGCGTCCAAGTGTTCTCATTGTTCAATTCCCACCTTTGAGTAAGAACGCGCAGCGTTTGGTTTTCTGTCCTTGGGATAGTTTGCTCAGAATGATGGTTTCCAGCTTCATCCATGTCCCTACAAAGGACATGAACTCATCCTTTTTTATGGCTGCATAGTATTCCGTGGTGTATATGTGCCACATTTTCTTAATCCAGTCTATCATTGATGGACATTTGGGTTGGTTCCAAGTCTTCACTATTGTGAATAGTGCCGCAATAAACATACATGTTCATGTGTCTTTATAGTAGCATGATTTGTAATCATTTGGGTATATACCCAGTAATGGGATGGCTGGGTCAAATGGTATTTCTAGCTGTAGATCCTTGAGGAATTACCACACTGTCTTCCACAATGGTTGAACTAGTTTACACTCCCACCAACAGTGTAAAAGCATTCCTATTTCTCCACAGCCTCTCCAGCACCTGTTGTTTCCTGACTTTTTAATGATAGCCCTTCCAACTGGTGTGGGATATTATCTCATTGTGGTTTTGATTTGCATTTCTCTGACGACCAGTGATGATGAGCATTTTTTCATGTGTCTGTTGGCTGCATAAATGTCTTCTTTTGAAAAGTGTCTGTTGATATCCTTTGCCCACTTTTTGTTGGGATTGTTTGATTTTTTCTTGTAAATTTGTTTAAGTTCTTTGTAGGTTCTGGATATTAGCCCTTTGTCAGATGGGTAGAGTGCAAAAATTTTCTCCCATTCTGTAGGTTGCCTGTTCACTCTGATAGTAGTTTCTTTTGCTGTGCAGAAGCTCTTTAGTTTAATTAGATTCCATTTGTCTATTTTGGCTTTTGTTGCCATTGCTTTTGGTGTTTTAGTCATGAAGTCCTTGCCCATGCCTGTAACCTGAATGGTATTGCCTAGGTTTTCTTCTCGGGTTTTTATGGTTTTAGGTCTAACATTTAAGTGTTGAATCCATCTTGAATTAATTTTTATATAAGGTGTAAGGAAGGGATCCAAATTGGCTATTATTAAAATTTCAAAAAACAACATATGTTGGCAAGGATTTTGAGAAAAGGGAACACTTATGTACTGTTACTGGAGATGGAAATTAGTTCAGCTCCTGTGGAAAGCAGTTTGGAAATTTCTTAATGAACTGAAAACAGAATTACCATTTGACTCAGCAATCTGATTACTGGGAAAATAAAACATTCTACCAAAAAGACAACTGCACTTTTATGTTTATCGTAGCACTATTCACAATAGTAAGTCTTGGAATCACCCCAGGTGCTCATAAAAAATAATGGTATCACTTCGTTTACAACAATATGAATGCAGTTGGGGGTCCTTATCTTAAGTGAATTAACACAGAAACTGAAAATCAAATACTGCCTGCTCTCACTTAAAAGCGGGACCTAAACAATGGCTATACAGGAACATAAACAGGGAAACAATAGACACTGGGCTTCCCAAAATTGAGGAGGAAGGAAAAGGGTTGAAAAACTTCCTATTATTATGTTCACTCTCTCACTCTTTGGGTGATGGATTCAATAGTAGCCCAAACCCCAGCATTACACAATATATCCATGTAACCAACCTACTCTAGTAAATCCAAATGTAAAAAATAAATAAATAAATGCCAATTACCTAACTACTTGATTGAAAAATGAACAAAATATATGAATTTTTTTAAGACATAGAAATGGCCAACAGGTATGTGAAAAGGTGGTCAACATCACTAATCATGAGTGAAATACAAATCAAAACCATAATGAGATATCGTTTCATACCTGTGAGAATGGCTATCATCAAAACAACAACAGCAATAGCAACCACAGCAAAAACAAATGTTGCTGAGGGTCTAGAGAAATTGGAACCCTTGTGCACTCTTGGTGATAATGCAAAATGGTGTAGCCACAATGGAAAACAGCATAGAGGTTTCTCAAAAAATTAAAAATGTAATTACTATATAACCCAGAATCACACTTCTGAGTATTTACCAAAAAAAATTGAGATTGGTATATCCAAAAGATACTAACATGTTAATTGCAGCAGTATGCATAGCAGCCAAGATGTGGTAACAACCTAAATGCCCATAAACAGATGAATGAGGCCAGGAGGGGTGGCTCACGCCTGTAATCCTAGCACTTTGGGAGGCTGAGGCGGGTGGATTCCCTGAGCTCAGGAGTTTGAGGCCAGCCTGGGCAATATGGTGAAACCCTGTCTCTACTAAAATACAAAAAAATTAGCCATGCATGGTGGTGTGTGCCTGGAAGCCCAGCTACTCGGGAGGCTGAGGCAGGTGAATTGCTGGAACTTGGGAGGCGGAGGTTGCAGTGAGCAGAGATCACACCACTGCACTCCAAAAAAATAAAAAATAAAATTAAAACCAGATGAATGAAAAAAGAAAGTGTAGTACATACATACAATGGAATATCATTCAATGTAGTACATACATACAGTGGAATATCATTCAGCCTTAAAAAAAGATGAAAATCTGACTGGTTGCGGTGGCTCATGCCTGTAATCCCAGAACTTTGGGAAGCCGAGGTGGGAGGATCACGAGGTCAGGAGATTGAGACCAACCTGGCTAACATGGTGAAACTCCACCTCTACTAAAAATACAAAAAATTAGCCAGGCATGGTGGTGGGCACCTGCAGTCCCAGCTACTCGGGAGGCTGAGGCAGGAGAATGGCGTGAACTTGGGAGGCGGAAGTTGCAGTGGCTGAGATTGCGCCACTGCTCTCACTCCAGCCTGGGTGACAGAGCAAGACTCCATCTCAAAAAAATAAAAATAAATAAATATATAAAAAAATAAAAAGATGAAAATCTTACAACCTGCAACAATGTGGAAGAATCATGAGAACATTATGCTTATTGAAATAAGCCAGTCACAGAAGGACAAATGCTACACTATTCCATTTATATGTTATATTAAAAATAGCCAAACTCATAAGAACAAAACAGAATGGTGGTTGCCAGAAACTGGGGCAAGGAAAAAATAGGAGTTACTATTCAATGAGTATGATGTTTCAGTTATGCAAGATAAGTACGTTCTAGAAAATGGCTGTACAACTTTGTGCCTATAGTTAATTCTATATGGTATATTTAGAAATTGTTCAGAGAGTAGATATCATGTTAAGTGTTCTTTCTACAATAAAAATGATTAAATTCTGCATATTATGTCAATATTTATGGAAAGGAAAAATGAACTTAATCTTATTGTAGTTAATAACTTGTATTTAAATTACAAGGTCATCATAGAAAGTAAATTCACAAGTACATAAATTTGAGTTTGTAATTAAATTTGCAGAAAAACAGATCAGTCTGTTCTATTAATAGAGAAATGACTTTGTCAGATTATGAAGAATTAAGTAATTATATTTTATTTTAGAGAAGCCTATAATTCTAAGTTTTCAGAAATCAAATGAAAATGCATCATAATAAGAATGTGCTTACAGAAAAAAGTAAGTTTAAGGGAAAGCATATAGAATTAATAGGTTTCTATATTCAGAAAGGTGATACCACTTATGGAAATCAGTCTGAGAATGAAAGAGAGATTAGCATTTCATTTAAGTGGTATAAATAAAAAGGAAATACATGAAATAGTCACAGACTTTGGTAATATTTTTAGTTATTAAATTATGCGCAAAAGGCTGACTCAGTGGAAATATGGACCACAAAATGCATAGATAATAGTAGATCTCATGGAACATAGAGTCTTGAATAAAAGACTAGTAATGAAAAAGTCTACACTCACTTAATTCTTGATATGAAGTGGTATGATAAGGTTCTTTACAGCATGAGAAAACTTAAAGATAATTTGGAGATATGCCCTGAGACATGAAAAAATAATTCCAGGATCAGTAAAAAGAGCCAGATTATTTAGCTTAGGGAAGGAGGGTAAAAAATAGATTGAATAAGATTTTTCAATAATGTGCCCATTATAGTATATAGTAAAAAGTTATTCCTAGGAAAAAGCACTATAGTAGAGAAAAATAATATTCAACTTCATATATCAGCTTCCAGCTCACACATTAAATGAGTTTCCTCATAAGTGTATGGATAACAACCATTTGATTTCCAATATGCAAGGTCTAAATTTATAGTTAAGTGGCTAGCCTGAAAATAGAAATATGTATTAATGAATCATTTTTGTTAGATATTTTTTCTTTCATGCTATGTAATTTGCTGATAGTTTGTAAGCCATGATGTATATTTAATAACGTAGCTGTTCTGTTGCCCGAAAGTATGTATTATAAATATAACAGGACTGCTATAGACACAATTTTTCTTGGCAACAATGGTAATATTGTTTCCTAGATATTTATTTCCCTGGAATTCTTCATCAATTCCTTTTTGCTTATTACTAATAGCAAATCTTCAGAATAAAATAAGTTTATTTCAGCAAAGATAGAAAAAGTATATGACTCTTAGAACTAATATATATTTATGCTTTTAGCACAATTCTATGATTTCCAATGGTCTGTTTCCAGAATTATAAAACTAGCATTAGAAGGTATTGGGGAAGTAAATAAATATGGTGAAACCCCATTTTGGTGTTCAAGTGTATGTAGTAATCAGAGGAAGGGATTCCTTTATAAAACAAACTCTACGACATGTCATTTATTTGGTCCTATGAAAAAACTCTGGCTGAAAAAATTGAAGACAGTTAGAGAAGACAGCTAAGCACTGCTTCCTTTACTCTTCCAAAATCACATAAAATATGGTGCACTGTATCATCAGTCATATATTCCTGCAGATGAGAAAGAATGGAGTATGCTGATCCTACTCATACCCTTATCAAAGGATACACTAGGAATCTCTAAATTAGAGACAGGTACAAAAGTTTCCATTCTCCCAAATAGTTATAACATCATAGTAATTAGACTTTTCTGTAGTTCCGAGGACATACCAGGCTCCCTTCTAACCTAAGCACTTTTCACGTATGAAAATTAATATAGTTTACACAATCCTATGAGGAGGATTATAGTTTTAGATTCACACTACAGAAATGAGGAACGGGGAAGTTGAACATTTTCCACAGATAAAGAGACTAGTGCCTTTTATTTTTTGTTTTTTATTTTTATTTTTTGTTGAGACAGACTCTTGCTGTTGTCGGCCGGGGCTGGAGTGCAGTGGCGCAATCTTGGCTCACCGCAACCTCCGCCGCTGGGGTTCCAGGAATTCTCCTGCCTCAGCCTCCCGAGTAGCAGGGATTACAGGTGTCTGCCACCACTGCTGGCTAATTTTTTTTTTTTTTTTTTTTTTTTGTATTTTCAGTAGAGACGGGGTTTCCTCATGTTGGACAAGCTGGTCTCCAACTCCTGACTTCAGGTGATCCGCCCACCTCGGCCTCCCAAAGGCATGAGCCACCACGCCCGGCCAAGACTAGTGTCTTTTTAACTTCGTCCCTGGTTTACATTGCCTCTTTGCATACAACTCCTCCAGGGGAGAGTCGGTTAAACACATGCGCATGTACACACACTGTAACCCTGCATACCTTCCTAGAGTGACATTTGCTACTAAATACCCTGTAATGAAGTCTTCATTTTTATGTAGGAATTCTAAGTCAAACATATAGGTGGGTTTTTCAATTTTATTCTTTTTGTTTAGCCCTTAAAAACCCAATGGATATATTTAAAACAAATGAAGATTTCAATAATTTTTTTGTACAATTAATAATGATTAATTGTAAGACAACTTAAGTTTAACTGTGTGCGTATAAAAAGGGGTATTTGTAAATATGCATATGAATATAGATGTGTGTATATGCAATGGGCTGAATGTTTGTGTCACCCCAAAATCATACGTTGAAATCCTCACGTCCTAATGTGATAGTGTTAGGAGGTGGGGCCTTTGGGAGATGAATTGATCCTGAGGGTTGAGCCCTCATGAATGGGATTAATGCTTTTATACAACAGACACCAAACATTCTCTCTCCATATTTTCACTATGCGAGGACAGAGCAAGAGGTTGGTACTGCGCAAACTAGATGAGGGATATGGTTTGGCCGTGTCCCCATCCAAATTTCAACTTGAAATTGTATCTCCTAGAATTCTCACGTGTTGTGGGTGGGACCCATGCGGAGGTAATTGAATCAAGGGGACTTTCCGGTGCTATTCTCTTGATAGTTAGTAAGTCTCACGAGATCTGATGAGCTTATCAGGGGTTTCCGCTTTTGCTTCTCAATTTTTTTCTCTTGCCTCGGCCAGGAGAGAAGTGATTTTTGTCTGCTGCTATGATTCTGAGGCTGCCCAGGCCTCTGTAAGTCCAATTAAACCTCTTTTTCTACCGAGTCTTGAGTATGTATTTATTAGCAGCGTGAACACGGACTAATACACACCCTTCACCAGAACCCAACCATGCTGGCTCCACGGGTTCTCTGATCTCAGACTTCCAGCCTCCAGAACTGTGAGAAATAAATTTCCGTTGTTTCTAAGCCAACCACCCAGGGTATGGGACTCTGTTTTTTTTTTTTTTTTTTTTTTTTTTTTTTTGAGATGGAGTCTCGCTCTGTCGCCCAGGCTGGAGTGCAGTGGCAAGATCTCGGCTCACTGCAAGCTCTGCCTCCCGGGTTCACGCTATTCTCCTGCCTCAGCTCCCCTTCAGTAGCTGGGACTACAGGCGCCCGCCACGACGCCCAGCTAATTTTTTGTATTTTTGGTAGAGACGGGGTTTCACCCTGTTAGCCAGGATGGTCTCGATCTCCTGACCTCATGATCCTCCCGCCTCGGCCTCCCAAAGTTCTGGGATTACAGGCGTGAGCCGCCGCGCCTGTCCCTGGGACTCTTTTGGCACTTCAAGCTAACTAGAATATATACATATATATCTTGTAAATATAAATGGGTAGACAAGGTCTATCCACTTTCATGATTTATGTTTTATATTCCTTTACTTATATATTAATTGTTCAGAAAAAACGACAGATTTCCTTTCTTTCTGAAAAACAATCTCATTAAATAATAACTTTTCTGGTAATATATTTTCGATTTATCCAACAGGAACTGTATTTTTTCCATTCATTTGGTTCTTGTGAATTTTTAGTACTCTTAGAGTAATGCTGAACATTCACCACCACAGCAGATTATGTGAGCCTGGAGACTCTGCTGCCAATGGCTGCATTTTGTTGAATTAACACCAGAACAGTGGTAAGACGCGATACAATCAGTGAATGTCATGTGGCTACTTTGAAGATGTTTTTAAAACAGCCTTGTTAATACGCCAAACTCGCTGATGCTCTCTGCACGAAACGTGGTTCACAGTATCTCAGAAGCTTCTTTACAAACTTTGGGCACTTGCTCTTTGTAAAGGTTAAATCCATCCACTAGAAATGATAAGAGTTAAGGACTTATTCTTTATAGAATACCAACAATGAAATAAAAACAAAGCAATATACCAACAAGTGGAAAAATCGATGTATTCCAACGTTATATTCTTTTATATATTTAATAGATTTTAACGTTATAAAAAGAAGACGACTTAAGCTTTTGCTTATTCCCTCAGGACCATTTTATTGTGAAAAATAAAGCATTTACTGATAAATACTTGTGAAATAAAATGACTCTAAGTTACAACAGTTCCCCAGTAAACATATATTACTTGCCTGGCAGTAATAAAGTTTCAAAAGACATAAATAAGGTCTTTTGTATTTTGCCCTAGTCCTAACCATAAACTAAAACCAAAATTACTTTAAATCTCTTTGTATATGTCATTTAAAGAGTCTACAAGAAACTATTGAATCTTTTCATTCCCTGTAAAAATCTTAAACTATTTTATTGCCTCTTTCGAATGCAGTTATCTATTAATTCAGAACTATAATAACTTTTATGGCATTTTGCCTGAAAGTAGTAAGTCAGCAAAAAAATCTTCTTTCACTATATAGTCATTGATTTTGCATAGTTACTGCTTTTTCACGAAAACTGAAATTTTTAACATTAGATCTTTATCCTAAAATTAAATACTTTCCTAAAAATTCCTGTTTGTTTTTTCCTGCTTTAATAAGGCTTGATTGTTCCTTCTTTTAAGGTGAGCTTGCCAGCAAGTAACAGTATGATCTTTAAATCCTTTTTGATTTTTTCCCTATTTATCACAAAACCTGAAGTTTGCCTTGTTTAATGCTGTCACCAAGAACTCAGGCATTTGATTCACTTGTTGTCATCTGACTGACACAGGATCCCCTCTGTAGCTTTGTGCACCATCAGCATATTCAGGAGCAGGGAGCAGGGATGAGGAGCAGCTTAAAAGCTCTTGCACTTCCGCTATCAGAGAAGGAATAGCTTTCCCAGAAACCCCCAACAGGTTCCTCCTTGGCTAGCAGAGAACACGTATCCACTTTTAACCTTGATGACGATTGAGAAAACAATCACTTGGTTTTTTTTTTTATGCTCTTTCAGATGGAGGGAAGCCTGAGAAAAGGGAATGAGATGTAACTGTTGGGTGTCAATCAAGAGTGTCAACAACAGTAAGATCATTCCTACCAGACTTGGCCCTTTTACGAGTAAGTGCTGAAATGAATATGAAATACAGAACATTCCTAGATATAAGATAAAGTTCTATTTTGAAATTTTTATATTAAGAATGATCAGTTCCTTTTTAAATTAAATATTTCAAATGGAATAAAAATGATTTGTGTCACTAAAACTTAAAAACTGCAGAGTCATGGGTTAGCATGAAGGATTTCACAGGTAAGTATCTTTATTAAAAAAGTAAAACTTGAATGTGTTTCATTAAATCAAATTAAAGTTCAAGTACTGGAACAAAGTAAAATAATGAAATAGGCTGAATACAACAAAACAGTATAAATACATAAATTATATATGTATATATCAATCATATATATATATATACACATGTATACACACATACATGTAAAAATTCACCAAACACAGACATTAGTACACATTGTACTAATATTATTTGAGGACTTTGGCTTTATACCTATACTCATCATTTAAAAACCTGTTTCATCCATTTCTATAACCAAATATTATCTGGCTCTTTTTCGTGGACAAGTTAATTAGGGAGGCATTTTTATAGTAATGACACATCAGACTAATAGTTTTCCTGTAATTCATATTCTAACTTCAAATGTGTATGGTATGAAAATTCTAGGAAGAAACAGAATTAACTACTTTGTGGGACAAAAAAATTTTGTTTTTCCAAATGTATCTACATATTTTAGTTATAGTCAAACTTGATGAAAAAATAGCCTTTTAACTTTTTTGTAACATAATCAGGAAGAGAAAGGAACATGGGTTATCATGTCTAAATATTTAAGGCTCACAGATCCCTTAATTTCTAAGGAATTAAAAATACATGTGATCATATTTTGTATTATATGTGATAAGATACTTATTTTAAATAAAGTACACTTTCAAAATGTTTTTAAACATGATTTTAAATAGCTCAGTTTATGGATGACTTAATAATATTAATCTTTATAGCCAGGTGTAGTTCTATACCTACTTATGTGACACATTATTATATTAAATTAATAATGTAAGATAAATGTGTTGTTTTCTGTGAATGGATTTTTATATTACATATAAATTTTAGTTTTGCAACCAAATTTATTTGAAAATTTAACTGAAGCCAGTTTTTACATAACAATAAAAATATTGTTTCTTATTCTTTGCACTCTCCCCAACACAAATTCAAAAATCAAAACTTATGCTAAAGTTTAATGATAATATGTGGCATTCATAACCTTAATCACAATATATAATTTCTGAAAGTAGGTGAAAAACTAAAAAGCAACTTCCCAGAATGGACAAAAGGTAACTTTAAGTGTTTATAGAGAGAAATATTAACCATATCTACCAATTCACACCACGGAGCACTTATAAAGCTCATAATCAAGTTCAATTTATAGCAGAAGTCAGAAGGTTGGTTGGGAAGGTTGGTTTATGCCAGATTAAAAGAAGGAGATGATTTCAAAGTTACTACATGGCACAGGTAGACCCTCAAATCTTCACCAGTATCCCTACTCTTCCCTCCTCCCCTCTCTGGAGAGAAAGATTTTTTTCTCCAGAGGAGTTGAAGGAGAGAAAATGATTTGGTGGAAACACTAAGCACAGATAAAGCAAGTGGTGATATTCCAAATGAAAAACGGAGAGAATGAATGGACGTCTGTGCACTGCGCGCTGGAACCTTTGGTCTCCTTCTCCAGTTCAGCTCTGGCAATCCAGCAAGCAGGCATGCGCCCACTAGGCAGGAGATTGAATGAGCCTTTAACAGAAAAGCTCAATGCCTTTTAGGAAAGACAACAGATTCTGATAATGGGATTTTCAACCCTAAGCATAGCTTGCCACGTCATCACTCTGCTATCTCATCAATTTCTTTTCCTTCCTTACTGCTGGGCATATCCATATACCCATGTACACATACACGAAATTGGAGCATATAATAAGGATTTTAAGAAATGTTTGTTCAATTGAAATACACAGCAAATATTGTCAGAGAGTTGTGGAAAAACTGTGTCTTGAAAGTCAATAACCAAAATAAAGAAACGCAAAATGCAATACAGAAGAATTAGCAACAATACTGCAAGTAGAAAAAAGATGCAAAGGAAATATAAGTGCTACACGCAAAGAGATGTGAAAAGATATAACATTCATAAAATAAGAAAAGTAAACTGTAACAACGGTAGAATCAAAAATTTTCCTAGAGGCCGGGCGCGGTGGCTCATGCCTGTAATCCCAGCACTTTTGGAGGCCAAGACGGGCAGATCACGAGGTCAGAAGATCGAGACCATCCTGGCTAACACGGCGAAACTACGTCTCTACTAAAAATACAAAAAAAATTAGCCGGGCGTGGTGATGGGCGCCTGTAGTCCCAGCTACTCGGGAGGCTGAGGCAGGAGAATGGCATGAACCCGGGAGGTGGAGCTTGCAGTGAGCCGAGATCGCGCCACTGCACTCCAGCCTGGGCGACTGAGCGAGACTCCGTCTCAAAAAAAAAAAAAAAAAAAAAAAAAATTGTCCTAGAAATAGAAAAAAAGTAACAAACATGAAAGTCAGTAAAGAACTTGGAAGATGAAGTGAAGATCTTCAAAAAGTATAAATAAAATATACAATTACAGCAGAAAAAAATGAGACGATCAACCCAGAAGGACTACACAAAGAATCTAATAATAAGAGTTCTACTAAAAGAAAAAAGTAATAATTCTTAATAAGGAATTTTTATTCAGGATTGAAGACAAGTATCCTCTGCTAAGACAAATTACTCTGAAATTTCAGAACTCTATGGATAAAAAAGAAGTTTCTGTGAAAAAAATCTGAGGGAAAATATTGTTTTCATCGAGAGGATCTGAAACACACAGGCCGTATGTTTTTTCCAACAGCACCATCATATTATCATACAAATGTGAAGGAAAGAACAAGGATGTTTCAGAGCTACAGAGTTTCAGATTATCTTTTTTTTTTGTTTCCAAGAACAATATTATAAATTCTGTTTCATCAAAATGAGGAAGTGAGGCCTGGTGCGGTGGCTGACACCTGTAATCCCAGCACTTTGGGAGGCCAAGGCAGGCAGATCATTTAAGGTCAGGAGTTCGAGACCAGCCTGGCCAACACAGCAAAACCTGTCTCTACTAAATACAAAAATTAGCCAGGCGTGGTGGTGCATGCCTGTAATCCCAGCTATCCAGGAGGCTGAAGCAAGAATCTCTTGATCCTGGGAGATGGAGGTTGCAGTGAGCAGAGATACCACCACTACACTCCAGCCTGGGTAATAGAGCAAGACTCTGTCTAAAAAAAAAAAAAAAAAAAAAAAAAAAGGAAGTGAACCAAGATGGAGGAAAACATGGTTTCAGACACTAGGAAAAACAAGAGAGAGGCAGAGGGAATTTTCAGTCAATCAGAATCCCAGAACCACAGAATGCAGTGAGCACATTCATCAGTCCCTCCTGGATAAGAGCAAACGTTGGCAGAGCACCAGAAGAGGTGTTCTCAGGACACACAAACATGAGGACTGGGTCAACCAGAAAATGACATATTTTGGTACCTGGAAAATTCTATTGATATTTCCCTTAGAAACTGTCCGGATAATATGAAAGACTTAGTCTTAGAGTTAAAAAAAAATTAAAATAAGGCTGGGCACGGTGACTCACGCCTATAATCCCAGCACTTTGGGAGGCTGAGGCAGGCAGATCACGAGGTCAGAAGTTTGAGTCCAGCCTGACCAACATGGTGAAAGTGTGTCTCTACTAAAGATACAAAAAATTAGCTGGGTGTGGTGGCGCATGCCTGTAATCCCAGTTACTCTACTCGGGAGGCGAGGCAGGAGAATTGCTTCAACATGGGAGGTGGAGGTTGCAGTAAGCCAAGATTGCGCGATTGCACTCCAGCCTAGGTGAGAGGGTGAGACTCTGTCTCAAAAAAATAAATAAAAATAAGGCAATATAAACTCTAGAAAAAAACAAAAAAAAGAAAGAAAAGAAAGATAAAATGTATACTACAGGTGTTAACAATAGAAAATATTTATATAGTCATGTAAATTAAAACTGGATACAGAGTGAATCAAAATTTGATGTGGAGAATATTATAACTGAAGGTACATGTATTAAGATAGTTCCATATAACACATAGGTTGATAATGTCTAAAATTGACAAATCTTAAATAGTAAAAATAATTGAAAATAGTTGCTTTTGGTGTGTAGCAATCTGGAGATTGGGCGCAGAGCTGATTTTTGCTATTCTTATTATAATTCCTCACTCTTAGCTGTGGAATATTACAAGATATAATATTATATTGATTTTAAACAATCTGTCATATTTAGCTTGAAATTCAGCCATACATATTAATATTTTGAATTCTGTAATCTTATACTTTAAAGAATTAATTGGTTTATTTCTATCATTTTTATTGTTGTTGTTTTAACTGGCTTGATAAAACAGATGGTTGTAGGCTGCTATTTACATGCATTCTCTCCCAGATAACACATTTTCTTGTGAATAGACTCTATGCCAAATAGGTAAAAATCCAAATTGGATACAATTATAATATTTTATGCCGATTTTTTAAATCAATACCAATGTGCTAACAATAATTTTCATCAAATATTAGGCAATATATCAGAGCTTTGTTTGCTCTGAACACAGATTACATTATTCCTAATTCCATCTCCATCACTTATTGTGTGACCTTGGCCAAGTTACATGACAACTTTGTGGCTCAGTTCTCTCATATTGAATAGCAGGATATTAATAGACCAGAATAATATTCTTAATGGAAATTACATAAGATAATTCCTATTGATAACTTAAAACTGTATTTGGTGATATGCAATGCATGATAATTATTAGCCAAATTCTTATTATTCTCAGGAAAAGACACTTTATGAGTGCAATGAAAAACTACTAGAGGATTCTTGAGAAATTATTGCAGTTTTTACTCTTTTAACCGTATTTCTGTATTTTATCATCCCTTATTTATACCAGTCTTCTATTTATGAGTAAATATGGATTAATATTATTTTTCTCAACAAAAACTTTTTAAAAGAAACAAAAAAAACTTTCTGGAGCTTTCCACTTTTTAATCCACTGTATTATCAGATATTAATCACACACATACATATATGAATAAACTGTAAACATCAAAGTCACGCCAGTTTTAGGTCATCCTGAAGGGTAAATTAGCCCGTCAGAGTCCTAGGCACATTCATAGGAAATCTACCAACTGCTGTACATGATTGCTTCAACTCCCAGTAGGATCTCTGTCACTTCTAAAAAGCTTTATGGCATTATTATTGAAACTTTTTCAAATAAAACTAAATTAAATAACAATATAACTTTTAATGATATGCACCCCCTACCTTCTAATAGAAAGATAGGTTGCAAACAATTTGCAGGGCTGACAAGGGTATGGCTTCTGTAAAATCTGGCTATGTCAATGATCTATTCAAGATATTTCACTCCTTGAAAACTCATTTTCTCCATCTAAAAATGGAGATTATCACAAATTTCATCTCATTGAACTGGTGGAAAAATTAAATTGGATTGTGATTGAAGTGCTTAGAATAGCGCTCAGACAATATAATTACTCATTAAGTGGCAGATTAAAGTATAGCAATCACAAAATTACAGCAGTGAAAACTCTGGGCAGCTTTTTAAATATTTTTATTTGATATTTGATATATTACATTTCGTTTAATATTCTACTTTATATTCAGTCAGGAAAAGAAGTTAAAAGTCATTACAAATGGTTTTGTATGATAACTAAATACAATCCTAAATTTGCTCTATTTATACTGAATTCAAAAAATTTACTTAGATTTTAGAATAATTATACAGTAGAGAAAATGTATCTTAGAAAGTGTTCATGTTATTTTACAAAGAAACAAATATTTGAAGACAGCCAGGGCTAATAGAATAAACATCACATATTATCTTAAAAGGCTTATTTTACTCAAAATAATTTGAAATAGGAAGAGAAATGTATTTTCTATTGAAACATATATGATACATTATACTGAATATATAATTCAAGCAAATTTTCAAATATGAGCAAGAATTCTAAGACTTTTTGTTTTCACCAGATATTTTAAAGGTCACACATATTCACTCTGTTTCTGCTTATACTTGGTGAATTTTTTGAGCACTGATTTCAGTAATTGGTAAAATTTATTACACATTAGGTGTAAAATGGACATTGGTCTAAATTGCAATTCAGCCGATTTCCTCCTTACTTCAGTAAGCAGCATTTCTACTTATTCTTTCCACTGACTTTATAAGTGATTACGATTTATGCTCATCTGGAAAGGAAAATAATACTAGAAATGGATCCTCTTTAATAAATCCTAATGTTTCAGAAAAAAAGTCTGTATGAAGAAATGCAACATTTAGGCTTACTTTGAAATTGAAAATTTGTTAGCTGAAAGTTGCCACTTTTCTAATCAGAACATTATCAAACTCTTTTTGACCCAACGTGTTTGTTTTTTTGTTTAATTTTACTTTAAGTTCTAGGATACATGTGCAGAACGTGCAGGTTTGTTACATAGGTATACAAGTGCCATGGTGGTTTGCTACACCTATCAACCCATCATCTGGGTTTCAAGCCCCACGTGCATTAGGTACTTGTCCTAATGCTCTCCCTCTCCTTTTCCCCCACCCACCAACAGGCCCTGGTGTGTGATGTTCCCCTCCCTGTGTCCATGTGTTCTCATTGCTCAACTCCCACTTATGAGTGAGAACATGTGCTGTTTAGTTTTCTGTTCCTGTGTTAGCTTGCTGAGAATGATGGCTTCTAGCTTCATCCATGTCCCTGAAAAGGACATGAACTCATTCTTTTTTATGGCTGCATAGTATTCCATGGTGTATATGTGCCACGTTTTCTTTATCCAGTCTATCATTGATGGGCATTTGGGTTAGTTCCAAGTCTTTGCTATTGTAAATAGTGCTGAGTAAACATATATGTGCATAGGTCTTTATAGTAGAATGATTTATAAACCTTTGGGTATAAACCCAGTAATGGGATTGCTGGATCAAATGATATTTCTGGTTCTATATCCTTAAGGAATTGTCACACTGTCTTCCATAGTGGTTGAAATAATTTACACTCCCACCACAGTGTAAAAGGGTTCCTATGTCTCCACATCCTCGCCAGCATCTGTTGTTTCCTGACTTTTTGATAATTGCCATTTTAACTGGCGTGAGATGGTATCTCGTCGTGGTTTTGATTTGCACTTCTCTAATGACCAGTGATGATGCACTTTTTTTCATATGTTTGTGACCCAATGTGTTTTACAATAAGACGTATATAAGCAAAATGGACCACAAATAATCTGCGTTATTCAGCACTTCATTTGCTACCTTTTAGTGGCATTTTTTTCTCAGATATAGGAAAACAATAAAGCAAGAAAAAGTAATTAGAAAGAATTTTCTTGAAAAGTGTGACCATTAGTGAATTTCCCATCATCCAGATGGTAACAGGCAATCTCTTAAAGGGAGCTATGTGCGTTTTTACTGAGTGAAGATATAATCTTCTATCATTTCCCAAGGGAGAATGCTATAAAATATTGATGTTGGGTAGGTGAGTGTAAAAGAGCACAAACACTCGTCTATTTTTTTTGCTGATACCTCTTTTTTTTTTTAAGGTGTTCTCATCTAATCTCTCTCCTCAAGAAAGACTGTGATATTGTTCTTTGAAGTCCCTAGCTCATCCCAGTTTCCATTCAAAATTCCAGTAGAATCCTGACTCTGCAGGTTGAGAAAAGTATGCTACCACTTCACAACACTTTTCTTACCACAAGGATTCAACTGAAGGAGATGGGGAGAAGGTGAATCACATAAGTTACCATGCTCTTTAAATCAGTGTTTAATAAAAAAGAAGAGCAGAGAGAAAGAGGAGAATAACACCATTCCATGGTTCTAGAAGGAAAAGTCATTGTATATTTTCCTTTCACAGATTGTGAAAGCAACAGTTATTCCCAGAATCACTAATTTGATCTACTTTATGATTTAACCCAACAAAGAAAATCTCATATAAATGATAAACTCCTATTTATCTGTAGTCAGGTCTGGACTGAATAAGTGTTTTGTCATACTGTCTTTCCCTTTTTCTTCATTGTTCTTGAAACTGTGTACAAATCTCACAAATATGAATGGGGGGGCAAAAGGATGATGAAGATTGTATATTTTTCTAACAGCATGATGTGCTGAAGAAAGGAAGGCTGAGCTACTTTGAGCAAGTAAGAACTGCAGTTTGCATAAGGCTTAACATATGTGTTATTTTTGCAGTAAATGTGATATTCAAACATTAAAGTAAAGGGAAATAGCAAATAAGGAAACCTCAGGTAATAGTGTCATTGTATAAAAGATGTTTTACTCCACTCTAATTCCAAACAAAGGCTAATATGTAAAATGATAATGCCAATACTAGTACATATTTATTCAGCAAAGTAATTTAATAACAATAAGTCCATTCCAAAGAAACCCCTTCTTATAGTGATATTTTTGATACAAGTATTTCCCAGGAAGCTTCCACTTTTCATATAATTTCTTCATTTCCCACCAAATTTTCTTGAAATATAGATTACTTCAAGTTTATATAATGCTTAAGTGAGAGGCGCAAAGAACTAGGGCCATAACACTCTACGAATATTTTTACCTGCTTTAGTAAAGAGTGTTGTACAGAATACATTCACTACATTGGTTTTGAAATAAGAACTTAATTAATCCTGTGATTTTGGCTCAAAATTTTAAAATTATTAACAGCGTACTATGAAGAAAGCATGCAATCCCTATCACCTTATAAAAAACTCAGTTTTTCAGACACTTCTGATGTGCCGGACACATCAGCCACTTTGCACACATTGACTCCAGCTGTTTTCATCATGTAAGGTGACATCACCATCATTCACAGATAGGTAAACTGAAGTTAAGATGAGTGAAGTGGACAAGCTGTCATCATGCTGCTCTGGGCTTCTATATCCCAGATTCTCACCCATAGCTGCCATCTCACAACACAGGTTTTTGATCAGTGGAGCATCATGCTATCTACACATTTTATGACCTTGGAAAGTTGCTTACCATCTATATACCTTGGACTCAGGTATAAAAATGTCTCCCTATAACCCAGATTTAATTTATATCACATACTTGTGAAGAAGCAAAGTGGTATTTTCTTCATAATATAATTGGAATAAATAATATTTGTTTTTATCACTTAGGGAATTAAAAACCAAAGCTAAACAGATGGTGAGCCAGAAGTGCACATAAAATTGACAAATAGATTCAACACCCAAAATATAAATGGAGATTCTCTAGGGATTTAACTTCACTAAGATGGCCATGTGAAGTATTTAATTTATTTTCTCCTTTCAAATCAGAATCTTTCAGATTTTCTATTTCATAATAACATAATACATTCATCTAAGTAAAATACGGCCAAGTCCTCATTTTTATAAATACTCCATAAAAATGCTAAATGTTACGAAAATGTTTTCTAAAGAATGACAATACATTCCTGCATCTATTTCTCCTAATATATTTATACTTGTTAATGTAACCCGTTTGAAGGAAAAATGTGTCATGATAATTTCTATATATGCTATGCATTTTAAAATCTATTTTATAGTGAAATCTACCACTAATTCTTATTGAATATTGTGTTAAAATAAGCAGAAGTCTCTGACAATCTCAGACTAATAGCTCTTAGTAAGCACACTGGAGAAACAATTCTTTCAACTGGATTTAAAAGATAAGAGCCTCAGATGCCGGGTGCAGTAACTCACCCCTGTAATCCCAGCACTTTGGGAGGCCATGATGTGCAGATCACTTGAGGTCAGGAGTTTGAGACCAGTCTGGCCAATATGGTGAAATTCTGTCTCTACTAAAATTACAAAAACATTACGTGGGTATGGTGGTGCACGCCTGTAATCCCAGCTACTTGGGAGGCTAAGGCAGGAGAATTGTTTGAACCCAGAAAGGTGGAGGCTGCAGTGAACCGAGTTTGTGCCACTGCACTCCAGCCTGGGTGACAGAGTGAAACTCAAAAAAAAAAAAAAAAAAAGAAGAAGAAAAGAAGAATAGAAAAAGAAAAGAACCTCAGTCAATCACAAAGAGCCAACCAGCCTATTGGTTATACAACTAGGAATCTTCCATCAGACCATATCCAATAAAGGCAAATGCCTCATCACACTATGCCCAAATAAGGTAGATGCCTTGCTCTGGCCAGTCAGTTAATTTTTCTACTTTGCTTTCATATTCAGCCTATAAAAGTTCTCTGTTCATTTTGCTGGGCAGAACTCTGAACCTCTTCTGATTCTGAGTGCTGCCCAATTTATTAATAATCCTTTCTTCAAATAAACTTCATTAAATGTCGTTTATCTGAGGTTTTTCTTTTAACAAATGTTTAAAAGCAGTTTGGTACATAAAGCGATGTGTAGTGGAAAGCATTTTATCCACCAGGCAGTATCCTTCTTACAAACTGCCCCGTGACTTTTTCCGTCTAACCCTAATAACATCTCTGAGAAATAATCAGTATTTGCCTCACTTTTTGAAAATGAAATGGATTACTCCAAAGGTTAACTGAAATGATCTCAAACCTGGAACCATTAAATGACACAGATTATCTGAAAACTAGACACAGTTGATCAAAAATCTCTGTGACAATATACTGTTCTGAAATAAATTGTGATTTCCTTGAGCATGTATAAGTTTAGGGGTATTTACTGAATCAGTGAAAAAAAATTAAACGGATAGTTATAGAGGCAATTAGATAAGGTGTCAGCGCCTTAATTTCTAGCACTTAATTTCCCCAAAATACTAATTATTATTTTCCGCTGTTCAATCTCATTCAGAGCCTAATGCCAATTTGACATTGAGACAGAATGATAATGTGATTGTCAGACTGGAATGCTAATAGTTGGTAAAGGGTTTGAGCTCAGAACAGAGGGAAAGCTAGTTAGTACAGATGGAACTTTGGTTAAATTCAGCAGTTGTAATAAACATTTGTTGAACTCTAAGTAGAGAGATTTTATAAAAAATATCACAGTCTTTATGGCTTAGATAACAGGAATGCTTTTTCTTACAGTTTTGGAAGTAAGAAATTACTTCCAAAAGTAATTTGGAAGGACAAGGTATTGGCCGGGCTGATTTCACTCTGAGGCCTCTCTCCTGGGCTCACTGATGGCTGTCTTCTCCCTGTATCGTCACATGGTCTTTCCTCTTTCTGTGTTGCCTGTATCTTTATCTACTCTGCTTTAAAGAACACCAGTCATATTGAATTACAGCCTGAGCTAACAATCCTATTTTAACTTAACTGCTTCTTTAAAGGCTTTAAAGGCCTAATACAGTTGCATTCTGGGGTATTGGGGGTTAGATTTCCAACATGTAAATTGGGGAAGAAAACATCTTAACCCCTAAAAGTGACATATTAAGTGTAAAAATTAAAAAAAATTATATAATATATATTTTAGGCCTCTTATAGATATAATATATATTTTATACATATATAATGTATATTTTAGACAGCATATATAATAAATGTATGTATACTATTTAGTCATTGTGTGTATATATATATATAAAATACATAATATTTAGGCATTGTATAATGCCTAAAACACTATGTTAGTCACGGATTAGCCGAGGTCAATAGGCGACATTTCTTCCTGGGTCACTTTAGGGGCTAAATTGTGTCCTTCTCCAATTTATACGTTGAAGATCTAGCCCCCAGTACCCAAGAATGCAACAGTATTTGGGATAAAGCTCTTAAAGGAGCAGTTAAGGTAAAATATATATATATATACACATAATATATGTGTGTGTGTGTGTATATTTATATATACATATATGTTTAATTGTTAGTTGATTCTAGCCTACCCAAGCAATATATCCAACTACTGAATTTTTATTTGTATTTTAAAAATCAAACCAAGCCTTGTTTTCTACATAAAGTATTGTCTCAAGTTTCCTCTTTTTGGACAATATACCCTGTAAATCTAGAGACAAGCAGCAAATAAGAGACACTGTAAAGAAAGCATTAACAGGCTTTAATGATGAACTCGATGGTCTGAGGAGAAGAGGAGTAGTTGGTGTTGTAATGTAAAAGAAGGTGTTAATATGTTATTATGTTTAAAACATATGGGAGATATTTGAGGAGGAGAGTTGAGCACCTCAGGATTTGACCTGTTAGGTTTCAGATGGAAAAGGCAATTAGATATATCTAAACACTATTTGTAAATAAAGAAGCATAGAAAAGTGGGGACTAATTGTATATTTACAACTGATCTTCAAAAAAAATTGACAAGTCTAAATGAGAATTTAAAGTATACAGCAGGAAAATGTAAAGAAAAAAAGGGTTATGGCTGAGAATAGGTTCTTAAGGATTGTAAAGTTTCAGAAAGCCCACTCAGTAAGTCAAAATTATGTTAGAGAGAGTAGAAACGTGTATACTCTTGTACTATAAAAGCTGAGTAAAGAAAACGCGTCATAAACGAGGAGTCTAACATGAGAAAAGTAGTGAAAGTTCATGAAGAGTAAATTCAAACCATTGAGTTCAACAACCATTTGTATGAGAATTTAAGCTCCCTGGTACTAGGAATGTTTGTTTTTTGAGCTGGCATATTCCCAGTACCTAGAATAGTGCCTTAGGCCTGCAAACCCCTCTTTAGTTCCCTGTTTGAAATAGCAACCTCAGTTGTGGGTAAGGCAGGTCCTACATCTGATATTGTTACAAATACTGACAAGTTAAAACCACTGTCTGGAGTAGGCCAAATGTTCAATAAATAAGGTTAAATCAGGGAATTAAAAACATTGATGAGGAAAGTCTCATTGAATTATTGCAGACAATAGGTGACACAGCTGTATGAGAAGAAATTCAGATCAAGCTGCTTGAGTATGTTAAGCTGGGAGTTTGAGTGTCTGTGAACAGTAAAGTTTTGAAAAAAGTAGAGGAGATCTGGAAAATACATTCCCTGAAGGAGACCTCAATAAGTAAATGAAATTATGACTAAAGAGACTTCAATAGCAAATTGAATAAAACGTATTGTGTGTATCTTGGTAACTGGAAGGATTCACCCGGTAATAAAGCCAGTAGCCAGAATGTTACCTGAAACATAGAAGATTTAAAAAAAATAGCTGGTATAAGCATAAGTTAATAAATGGCATTTTGGAACTGTCAAAACAACTAAAAATATATATTTTATATTCTATTTCTTAAGTCTTCAGTGGTTACTGGGGATAGCAGAATTACCTAGGTTCTCCTAATCAGACCAACTGGTTTGAGGTTATTATTCAGAGAAGAGCCAATATGAATAAGGACAAGTTTCATTTAATAAATAAACTAAAAAGGGTGTCAGTGTTTCAGAGACGCCACAAGCATTCAGGTGAAATAGGAGTAAAAGTCCCTATAGAGTATCCATATACTCCTTCCCTACTGACAACTACAAGTATGTGACTAGAAGCAGTTGGATCTTGCAGCAAGCAGTCTCTTGGAAGGGGTATGCATACATTCAGATGGATAGCCACTGCTTTATTTCACTGATCTTCCTGGAGTGTCTTCAAGCAAGCTATTTTAAGAAAGTAATTTTTGGCTTAAACCAGCACAAGTAAGTTCTTCTGTATGCAACCTAGTATATAGCAATGTGAAGATGCAATTTAGAAATGAAGAAACAGTAGTGACCGTTCCCTCTCCCCACCACACACACACATAACCTCAAGCTCAAATTCAAAGAAAAAGGCGTTTTGCCTCTTAAATGTCATTCAAGGCAGCTGAGTGTGTCAACATTTATTGACATGTCAGTGCCAATTTCATTCAACTGTTCTGGGACATGAAGGATTAACCAGATCTTGTCCTCCTTTGTATCTTCAGGGTTTGTACAGCCAGTACTAAGAAAAGTGATAGATACAATGCAGTTAATAAGCTGCATGAACAAAAGAGCTAATCAATTACTATTTTCAAAATTCATGTCCATCAGGGACTTTCTAGATGATATTGCTGACATTTCCAGTATCTATGCCCCCAACCTCAGGCCTGCAAACCCCTCTTTAGTTCCCTGTGTGAAATAGAAACCTCAATTGTGGGTAAGGCAGGTCCTACATCTGATATTGTTACAAATACTGACAAGTTAAAACCACTGTCTGGAATAGGCCAACCGCATGGATGTTTCAATTTGGAAAATCTCGGTGTAACAACACCAGCTTCTACAGTGCTTCCTGATGCAAGATCATGAGAAGAAAATAGCTTAGCCTGCCACCTTGCTCCCACATAATGCAAATTCAACACCAGGAGTGTAAGTCCAGAAAAGAAAAATAAGTAAGACACTTTTTAAGATACTTAACTGTCACAAGTATCTGTGAGAACACATTTTAAAAGTGGTGAAAGATATCAAAGGTAAAATCAAATAGTATGCTTATCTGAGAATCCTCTGTCAATTTTTGTGAACTATTTTAAACATCACAATTATTATTGATATCATTATTATCATCACGTTTATATTGCCTTTTCGTTAGGCTTAACCTAAGTACTTCTAAGTTTTCAAAGATTTTTGAAGTTAACTGTTATACATAGAAGCCATATGATCTAGAACTGAGCACACTGAGATTTTAAATCTCATAACAATATTGGTTTATATTTATTTACATATGTTGCTTAAATCACCTTTCCCTGTCTCTGATGCACTACTACATACTATATAGTAAGCATAAATATGTGCAGCCCAGGGGAAGAAAATAATTAGGAAGATCCATTTCACCCTACTTCCAGATAATGAAGTAACATTTCAAATTGCCAGAAACAGTTGTTGTTAATTGGGTCCATTGATTGTTCCATTCTGTTGTGGGAATCCGGCTTGCCTTCCCTTCCTGTCCACACTTTAAAGTGAGGTATTATTTGATTCATGAATTCTTAAATTGAAATTGAACTCAGACTTCCCACTATTCTATCATGCTCTTGTGTATACTCAATAGCTTAGCTTTTCTTAGCTTAATTTTATGTAACTTACTTTCACTGTTCCCATGAAAATAAACATGGTTATTATCAATAAATATAATCTGTCAGTAAAAGTAACAGGACACGTGGTAGCTCCTTTATCTTATTTTCATTTATCCTGAAAAAATATGTCAGAGGTAAAAGAATCTGATATTTAATGCAAGTATTTCTTAAATATATATAAACATGTATATATGTGTATATATATATATGAATACATACATATTTAGACCCATATGCATACACATATATACATACACATATATATTTTTGATACAAAATTCACATGAAATTTTTTTGCGAATTAACTTTAGGGCTGTAAAATATCACCATATTTTATTTTGGTGGTTTCTAAGAATTTGACAGATGCCAAAAACTAAAAAACCAAAAAAAAAAAATTCCCAAAACTGTTAGTAAGGGAAGTGGTTTTACTCCCGCAGCAATTCATCATAAATTATTATTCTATGAGGAACATTTAGATTTGAGTTACAAATAATAACTCCAGTGAATTCTAATGCAATGATGATGATTTAAATAAAAAGAAGCCTAAATACAGAATGACAAAACCAAAAAATGTACAAAGAAAATAAATAAAATATTTCCAGAAGATACAGAATATATCTCTAGTTAATTGCTAACAAATTGTTAGATAGACAAAGAAGGTGACAGATTTACATGTGGTGTTACATCAACACAGTCCAGTAATACATTGCTTAGGAAAAAAAAATGATACAATGTTAAATATTCATTGTATGAGGTGAATATAATGAAGACTTTTTGTTTAATATAAATACTACATTGCCTTGCCTTATATACCTTTTTATAATCCCATAGCTCCCTTCTTAGAGCCTAAGAACCATTAATTCTTAATTACTATATGTAACTTGATAGAATAAAATAGACTCTTGCTTTAAAAAAGTATCACATAATTTAGAAAAAAATTAATACAATTTCTTTTGTACTACAGAGAAATTATTTCATGATCTAAGAGAGAAAGTTACTAGATGAATAATTTATGCCTAGAGTAATTAATGTTCTTATGCATTGGTAAGGTGACTTTGTACTTCAGAGTAGATAGCATAATTTCTTCCTGGTATTTTTTTTATGAGTAGTCTCTTGGTTATAATGAAAACTGATATTTTCAATTTCATCAAAATTGAACTAACTTTAAAATGTAATCATTTGAATCCAATGTTCTCCAAGTGAATAGCCTTAAAATAAATGAACGTTCTGCTGAAAGCAACACAATTCAGAGAGTTTGCATGTTTTTTAAGTACCCAAAATAACTTTCCTAATTTCATTTTTTAAAACAAAGATAAGTTTTATTCATGCTCCATGAAAAAATTAGTAGAATGAAACAAATAATAGCCTTACAGAAAAACCTCAATTACTTGAAAATAAAAGTAATATGTATTAGAAAAATCCTGTGTGTATAATAAATAAAATTATAGAATAAAATGTTCACATTCTATTACCATTTCAATCTGCTTAAGGATGTTATGCTTTATAAAAATTTAAAAGATGGTAGAATAAAAGGCAAATACAGATTTCACTTGAAATATAAGTATATTTTAAGGGTATTTTTGACATTATAACATGAATATAAACATTTCTTTGCAGTGACATATTTAAAATTTCTGTTAATTCCATTGCCTTAGTATCAACATCTTCCTGTTAGCAAGTCAAATAGACAAAAAGAACATGCTGATATATCATCCCTATTCACGAATAAAGTACTTTCCTTTTCTACATGGATCAAGGAATGAATTTTGTATAGAGTCAGACTTTCTTGCCCCTGCCCCCAAATTATATATATATATATATGTATGTATATATATTCCTATTTGTGTGTGTGTTTGTGGAACATTATCCACTCTCTGAAAATAGAATAAATGAACAGCAAATGTAGAAAGAAAATAATTCATCAGGTATCTATATACCCCACATCTCTAAATAAACTTATTTGGAGAGATTGCTACCTAATATTCTGCAAAGATAGGTCTAGTTCTTTAGCTGTTAAGCTGACCTAAACTGTAAAATTCATTCATCAAATTAACAAGCTTCACCTTAAACCCTCTTTAGACATGGGAGATGAGAATGAATAAATTCAATCTCATGTAAATGTATTACAAACCAGCAATGAGAGGCTAAGGCAACTAATGAATCAGGAGAGAATTAGAGGGTTGAAGGAGAGTGGGCTCAATATATGATCAATATGAGAAATGAGAAGAATGTGGCTCATTTCATATTATAATGATTATCCTGATACTGATGAAAGTAGAAGGCTGCTACATGTACCTTCTATTGCTCTAGATTGATTATCTCCTGAATATTTCACTCTGTTTTCTATCCCAGTCTTTCCACCTGTTCCACCAAAATGTTTTCTAAAGCAGTCTTCTTTCCTTTAATTATAATTTACTAGACCTCCACTATGTTAGGAGATACGAGTGTAGAAACACTGAAAAATGAGACATACAAAATCATTTGTAAAATGAAAATAGTGAAATACACATAAGTTCCATGCCTTTTTAAAAAATAATTTATTCTTTTAAATAGTAATTAATAGTGTTAAGTAATGGTGACAAATCAATAAAACCCTTGATTGCGTCATTTTTTAACTTGTTTGTCCAGTGAATGAAGCACACAATCACCTCTAAAGTGCTCACCTCCTGATTTTAGAAATATGTACATATTTGATCTAAAACAGGATTTAGGTGAGATGATATTTTTGGATCAACATAATTCCACAAAACTTTTGCACTAATCAAATATTTTGATTCCCTATAATATTCATTGGGAGTCAACAGCCTCACACAACATATCTGGACTTCACACTGAATAGAAAAAACTAAGGTTTGCTGTGGGAAAGTAAGTTTGGTGGATTCCTGCACACTATTTAATTATGCTATGTTCTTGAAAGGTTGTAAACTATTGTTTTGAAGGATATTTTTGAGGTCCTCTGAAATGAGAGTTTTCAGACTTGAAAGATCAGAAACCACAGGACTTAGATACACAAGATAAACACACACACACATACACATGCACACACCGTTTCATAATGTAATGTGCAATACACTGTTATTGTCAGCGTATTTCTTATGTTTTCTAGTTTATTAACAGTATATTAGTGGCAAAGTCATTAAATTGATTTTATAACCTTAATCAGTTGCAACCAATAATCTGAAAATACTGTAATAGATCCAATCTATTTTATACTTGATATAACCCTACATGGCCCAATCGAAACACTGTTAAGATGGTATTGCTAAAATATTGTCTGAGGTAAAATCTCCACTTTTTTAACAATATAATTTTTAAACGAATCCATCCTCATTCCTTGTCTATTTTACTCCGTGTGGAATGTGTTGAAGACTTGTCATAGTATGTTCAGCTTTAGATATAATTTTAAAACAAATGAGAAATTATATTTGAAATTTATTATACGGCTTTTGAAGTACTTCCAAAAATGGATTATTTATTGAAAGGTAAAAAGAATAGAATTGTCTAAATTTTCAAAGATACTCTATCTATTAGTATTGCTATAATATTGCTGTAAGAACATGCCAGCTTTTGTTTCTTTATTTCCTTTTCCTTAAAATAAAATATATTAGTAAATTAATAAATTTGTGAATACACACTATGAAAATGAGTAAATCATCCATATGCAAGTTCTGGAATTCAAGTATTCATTCCTTAAAATGTCTGAAGGATATTCATTCAACAACTGTCTTTTGACAATATAATACAGAATTAGAACATAGCATTAGATCCTAGGAGAAGAATGATAAGACTGAGGCCATGATCTGACTTTGAGAGTTGAAACTTCGGAGAAAGGCACAAAAATAATTTGTTATAATCTTTAATAAAGAGTCTATTAGGAGCATGTGCAATGTACAGCAGGCAAGACAGAGACCGTAACTATAGTGAAAGGTAAGTGGTGTGGGTTAAGCAATCAACACATGTGAGGTTATGCCTAAAGAAACTTCCTCTGAAGGACAGGATTGGATATACTTCAAAGAGTTTGCCTAAAATGTATGCAATAGGTCCTCCGTTTGATGAGAAATAAAAAAGAAGGTAATAAAAGTTGGAAATAATGAGATCTATAACCTGGCAAACATCCTACAATATCTGTAATCAGTCTAGCAGAACTAATGTAAGAATTTGCAATGTGGAGTCAGCAACAGGCAAGCTCAAACTTTCTAAAGCTGTGGTTGATAGCTATTTATCTCCAATAATACTCTGATGTTTTTCATTTCATTGGCCTCCAAATTTTGGTTGAAGAAAGTATGTTGTTGTTGGAAAATTAGATAATTTCTTTACTGATCTCATGGAGACTTGGCTAGGAAAATTTTATTTAGTAAATAGCATTGCTAGGCACCCTGCCATGTCTTGCAGACAAAACAATGTTCCAGGGTCACTGAGTTTTGGGAAATCATACATAGAATTGTTAAAATAAATGAAGTAAGAGCAGGAAAAATATAGTCTAGGCAGATAGCAAGTTACGTAAGAACACAGAACCCTTAAGAGGTTGCTATTTCTGAAGCATTTCCAGAATTTCATTTTGCATGGAATGAAGAAGGTAACAGATTGGAAAGTCAGGAAGGGCCTATCATAAGATTTCACCATGCCGAGCTTATGAGTCTGGATAATGGGAATCCTCTCCAAGATAAAAATAGGGGCCGCCCAAGAACAGAATTTTTGTTTTTACAAAGTTGTTTGTTTCTCTGTGTAAGCAGAAAGAACAATTGTTCCATTCACTCAATTTACAAAGCCAAAGGAAACTTTTGATAAGTTTAAAAGCAGTTACAGTCATTTATGTGGAAA
This sequence comes from Homo sapiens, assembly GCF_000001405.40. Taxonomy (NCBI): domain Eukaryota; kingdom Metazoa; phylum Chordata; class Mammalia; order Primates; family Hominidae; genus Homo; species Homo sapiens. The sequence goes on from NC_000005.10 coordinate 20,441,254, forward strand.
ACAGTCAACAAAATAAATATGAAAATGGAGATAAAACCACAATTTATTTCACAGTTATGCTGCCTTAATAATTGATAATCAATATCTAAACGGGAGGGTCGCTATAATTGCACGTGTGGGTATTGTGTTTTCACGTGTGTGTAAACTGGTACAGGAATGATGTGTGTGCGTCTGTGTGTGCCTGTGTGTTTAGTTCCCAAGAAGGCATTAGAACTACACAGAGCAAAAAACTACACAGAGCAAAAAAAAAACATTTCATCCCATTTGAAAGAATACAATACACCTTTCATATAAAAAAGGGCCAAATTGTTACAGCTAGCATTTTGGTTCTGAACTCATAATCTGTTTAATAGAGTCAATATAATTCTCTGAGTTTAATTCTCTTAACTTTAGTTAATTCCTTCCTCAGTTGAGTTATCTTAACTTTCCTCAGTTTCAAAATATGAAGCACTATTTTTTTATCATTATTATTTTGTTTTTAGGGAACTACATATTGTAAATGAGAAAACAAGATAAAAGGATTTATTTAGATCAATAAAAAAATCCAGAATTGCAAGTACTTACATTGCCAAATGAATTATTTTCCTTACTATTTAATCAAGAGATGACAATCTGTTGCTTATTATGTGCATAACACCAATAAAATGATTATTAAAAATAATGTCTTATGTGCAATAAATAAGGTTCCTACATCGAGAGAAACAGAAATGGTCAGGCAAAATTTTAGTGGAGTGAAATATAAGCTTCATGATGGGAGATATTTTATCTGTTCTGTTAACTGCTTTGTTAATTGCCATCTATCTTGTTAATTGCATAGTTAGTCCCTCTATCTAGGTAATGCAATACTTAAAACAGTGGCTGCATTACAAGAGTCCGTGGTATTTGTTGAGTAAAAGAATGAATGCAGTACCCCTGGTAACACGGTTGGCTTACCACTGCAATACACTGTCATTGGCATCCTGGAGGGCAGTCTCATAGATACACAAGCGAAGGAAACTCAAACTGTTTTACTCTTAGCATCAATAATTTTTGCTATGGAATTAAACCTTTAAAATAGCGTCAAATGAGGCATACATTTTGACATGTGATAAAAACCGTAAATAAACTACTTATGTGACACAGTTCTCAAATACCTTATATAATATAAAATTATGGAAATTATATTTTCTTGGATGGAAGATGCTGGACATCTGCATCTCAAACATGGAATTATTTGTGAGTATGAGTTACTTTTGTATCCAATGTGCCATTAAGTGGTGCGCTAATGGCAGTTGGCCCTGAGAGGCTCAATTATGTAGAAAGGCAAGTTATGTCATAAAAGTAACAGTCACCTCCTCTGAAAGTGTCATTCCTCATAAAATATTTAAAAAGGAGGAAAGCAAAGCAAAACAAAACAAAAACTAAACTAAGCCAAAAGCACTTCCTGCCTACCAAGTTTTAATTGGTCTAGCAGTTATTGACTGTTGCTGGAAAGGGGTCTCATAGGAAAAGCCTGCTATACCTCTGACAATGCAAGTCATAAGAGAAATAATAATTTTGCCAAAGACTAGTGCCAACAGTTTATGAACAAGCTGATTAATTGTACAAATATTCAGATACAATGGATCAGATATGTAGACACTACTAAAAAGCAACTCAGATACTACTTCACAAGTTAATACAAAAGTATATCTTGGCCGGGCGCGGTGGCTCACGCCTGTAATCCCAGCACTTTGGGAGGCCGAGGCGGGCGGATCACGAGGTCAGGAGATCGAGACCATCCCGGCTAAAACGGTGAAACCCCGTCTCTACTAAAAATACAAAAAAATTAGCCGGGCGTAGTGGCGGGCGCCTGTAGTCCCAGCTACTTGGGAGGCTGAGGAAGGAGAATGGCGTGAACCCGGGAGGCGGAGCTTGCAGTGAGCCGAGATCCCGCCACTGCACTCCAGCCTGGGTGATAGAGCGAGACTCCGTCACAAAAAAAAAAAAAAAAAAAAAAGTATATCTTTTGCAAATAAGAGTGACTAAGAAAGCTAAGGGAAAAATGGCTGTTTAACAATGTTTTATGTTCTTGCTTTAAGAGATACATCCATCGTAAATGGTAAAACTATGTTTGGTATCCCTAAACCACATTTAACAGTGCACAATTATTATTTACAATATCAATGATGAATATTGGTCATTGCATGCTCCATGTATACTAATTGTGTAAAGGCTCAATCTGACCTCATTGTAATATTTCCTAGGACCATCCCAGCATTTTAATTTGTTTTGATGGTTCCAGGGGTACAAAATCAATAGTGAACGCCAGATACCTATCCCGTATTTTCCTGGAGACAATGATTGATGTCAATATTTCTGTGGGCACACATTAGGTTATTCTTTATGAGTAACTAATAGCAGAAAATGTGGATAAATGTATAATTATGCCCCTTCTTAGCTTAGTTTTTAAATATTGCCTCCTTTATATCATTTTATACACTTACAATACTTGTCTTCCTCAGATTTCAGTTACTTGGGTAATCATTTCTCTATCTCTCATTGACAAACTTGTTGATCTTGAGTGATTCCTAGCAAAGGGTAGAAATTAATTATCTCTATCATTCTCAATATACCTACATGAACTATATGACTAATTGGAAGAAGGATAGGATTTTATTTCTACCTATGAAGCACTAAAAGAACCCATTAACTTTTTTACAAGGTAAAAATATACACTTGGGGAATGGAGGTATTCAATTCTAATCTTGGCTTTTTCCTTACTTAATCTCTGTAGGCATCAATTTTCACATTTGCTACAAAAGATGTTTATATTATAATTTGTATAAAACCCTTTCCAGTTCTAATAGCTTAGTATTGTCCCTTTATTGCTAGGACTTATAAAAGGGAAAAAGAATTTCTAGTTGTATTATAGTCATGTGAGGAGTTCCTATCCAATATTACATTTGACCAGGCCTTTTGGCAATGTGAGTAATATGGCTGAGAATGTGAATATCTGGAAGTATTCCTGTTAAATTTCATATGTATCCTCAGAATCTGCATGAATTACTTTAGCTGTTTAAACTATTTCTTCAGAAAGTCAAGTTTAAAAGGTGTGAGGAATCTTTAGCAAAAAATTATGTGCTATTGCTTGTCTGTTTATTTAACTGAGTTACATGTTGGGTGTGGTGGCAGGTGCCTGTAATCCCAGCTACTTGGGAGGCTGATGAGGGGAAAATCATTGGAACCCAGGAGGTGGAGGTTGCAGTGAGCCAAGATGGTGCCACTGCACTCCAGCCTGGGCAACAGAGCAAGCCTCTGTCTCAAAACAAACAAAACAAAACAAACAAACAAAAATCCTCTCTTAGTTATTTTAGATTGGCTAATCCCTGAAATAAACTGTGAGATTCAAAGATTATTTGTAATTAGCACTGAGGGAAAGTATGGAATCCATTGAAATTTTCTTTCTCATACTCAATATTGAAAACTATGGTTGAATTACATAAAATACCAATACTCAAGTTAGGCTCATCTGAATCCTATGTAATGTTTTAAGCTTTTTTCTTTCTTTTTTTTTTTTTTCTGGCCATCACCGTTCACTGCGACTACATTTTATAAAAAGAAAATAAATCCTATAAGAGAGATGCTTCCAGTCTGGCAGTCAAGTATAAATTTGAGTCATTCCACTTATTCGTTGACAAATATGCCAGCTGAAAGCAAGAATTGGTTGTAAAAAATGTGTTATCATTTATATATAATAATCATTCACAGACAGAGCCACAAATTTTAAGCTTTGTTGACCGTCTAAAGCTTTCTTTTCATGCCAAATCAAAAAGATGTAACTTCTAGTGCCTTTATACACTACTTTTAATATAGTAGCATTTTCTTCATTCACAGTTGGTGTGTCCTGCTACTCTCGTCTTCTAAACATAGTTGAGAATTTAAAATAATGGAGAAAGTGAATTTTGGGTTACAGAAATAGCTGTTACGAAGACTAAGCATTAGAACATCATTTAGAGTTTATTTCCTTAAATTGCATACAATTCTAACAACTTTGATTATCCGATTTCTTAAACACTGCAGATTAGAAAAAGGAAATTACAAGGAAGAAGGCTGCCAGGATCCTGGAGTGCAACTGTGTGTGTGACAGATACAAACAGACATCAGAATGTGGGCATCATGCTGAATAATTCTTGGTCATAATAATACTTTACAGTGTAAAAGAAAATGATTTTTATATTTGTTAAAATGGCAAAGAAGACTTTACTCAAAACTGTTTCAATAGAGGTCAAGACTATTGTGATAAAAAACAAAAGAGAGAGGTTAAACTCAACTCTGAATACAACAGAGACAAGTGGTGATTTGTAGCTAAGACTGAATGTGAAATTTCTAAGACGACTTGTTTAGGAATGAAGGGTGGGGAAGAAGTGCTTACTTGGATATCAAGAGTGGAGGATTCTCAATAAACTGGCTTAGCAGGATTCTTTGATAGAAGCAGACTCAACTTGTTACTGAGAATTCTGCATTGGAATGGATTATTTAATGGAGATTAACAGAGCTGGAGCTCTGGGCCAACAATCTCAGTTCTTGTGATGGTAAGCAAAGTATTGCAGACTAACACCAAAATGCAAGCTCCAAGCAAAGTTTATTGAAGCATAGTAATACACTCTCAGAGGGAGAGTGGGCTGATTTCTGCGAAGTGAAATCAACTGCTTTTTACAGAACTCAGGGTGCTTTTATGGGGCTTGGTGGGGGGAGTTGAGGTTTGGGCTGTGTCTGAACGAAAGGATGATGTTATTTGATTGAAGTTTATGGTTACAGAGCTAGAATTAAACTGCATATGTTTTTACCCATAATTCATTAAGAAAAGCCCACTCAGGGAGCAAAATCGCAAGTAAATTTTATTATAATGAGCTTAGGGTAAAATGAACTTAGGGTCAACTCGAAGATACAGTTTTAGGTTACCGAGCACATGTCACTTTAGGGAATTTTCACCTGTGCCCTAGTTTCTCCTTCTACAGAATGTGCTTGCCACAGACTTTACCACAAATTCCATCAGAGTAGAGTCAGGGCAGTCTTGGGGTTGAACCTAGGTGGGCCAGGGGCTGTCTTAGTGACAGCCTTGTCTGCTTTCTTTTCTCATAGCAGCTTTTCTTCCCAGCTGCTAGTGTCAATCTAACTACCTAACAAACCCACTCCGCAGGCCAAGGATGGGATCAAGAACAAAGTCTGCAGGAAAAGGCCTCAGAGGAGCTTGAAAAAAGTTTGCTCAAGTGAGGAGTCAGTGTCAGCAGTCACCAAGAAAAGGTGCATTAAAGATTTGTGCCCCCAAAGAAATAAGAGAATCCTGTGCAGCCTTTGAGAAAAATGTATATTAAAAATGTTTATTTCTCCCTAATTATGCCAACTAAATAGCAGACTCCCGTTATCTAGAAAATACACTAATTCAAAGCACTTTATTTCCTAACGATGCATTTTGTAATTTATTAACTCATCAGGTAAAATAATTGTCTTTAACTTTTCCAAATTTAAAAAGGCACATCAGTGGCTCATCAAAATTTCTGAGTCAACTGTGGAATAACCATGATCTGTCCTTCTATGAAAAAGGTCATCAATATTTTGTGAAAGATTAAGTGTGGTCAGCAGTAAGTTAACAAAGAGGAGGAAAATTAATATTTGCCTGGATGTGTGACACAATGTTTTATATACCACCTTTAGAAAACAGATGTAATTTGTTAGTAGAAAATTTCCTGCCTGTGGCTGAACATTATTGAAAGTTATACCATTTGCTTTATAGAGATAGCTCCTTACTGAAAATAGATTTACTAGATAAAATGTGGAAGCTTCCTATAACATTTAACTTTGTTACTCTGAAATGCTGTTTCTCCTTTGAATTTTTCCCCATTTTCCTTTTATCCTTTTTCCTTCCTTCTTTAAATCCTTACTTCCTCTCTCCTTCCCTTTTTCTGTTTTTCTCAGTGTCCTTCTTGTTTATTTGTTCTTTCTTCAGTCAATAAAGTTATTTACCCCATTATTATGGTTGTTTCCCCTCCAAAATTCAAATGTTGAAACTTAATGGCCAATGTGATGTTATTAAGAGGCGAAGCCTTTAAGAGATGATTAGGCCATGAGGACTTCTCCCTCATGAATGGGATGAAAATCCTGATAAAAAAAAAAAAAGGGCTACACACAGTGTCCACAGTGTGTCTTGCTTTTCTGCTTTCTGCCATGTGAAGACACAGCATTCCTCCCTATCACAGTATTCAGCAAGAAGTTGTCATCTTGGAAGCAGAGACCAATTCTCACTAGCCAGTACTTTGATTTTATACTTCCCAGCTCTCAGAACTGTCAGAAATATGCCTCTGTTTTCTAGAAGTTAACCAGTCTCACATATTTTTTACAGCACCACAAATGGACTAAGAAACCTGCTGTCCTCCCGCAATATCTTTTACACTCCAATTTCATTTATTTTATTTTTGTGTGTGTCAAGTTCAATTTCTGTCAACATACATGAGTTTACTTCTATCTATCATTTACAGGAACAGCAAAATTTTATATCATGTGAAAATGTTTTCCTTCCGTTTACTACTCACACATGAGTTATCCTGAGGTTAAATGTGAATGTTTGAGATTTTATCGAATCTACTTTAAGCTTTGTCTTTGAGATCTCTTATTTTATTTTATTTTTTTTAATATTTCTTTTTATTATACTTTAAGTTCTAGGGTACATGTATACAACGTGCAGGTTTGTTACATATGTATACATGTGCCATGTTGGTGTGCTGCACCCATTAACTCATCATTTACATTAGGTATATCTCCTAATGCTATCCGTCCCCTCTCCCCCCACCCCACAACAGGCCCTGGTGTGTGATGTTCCCCTTCCCATATCCAAGCGCTCTCGTTCAATTCCCACCTATGATTGAGAACATGCGGTGTTTGGTTTTTTGTCCTTGCGATAGTTTGCTGAGAATGATGGTTTCCACCTTCATCCATGTCCCTACAAAGGACATGAATTCATCATTTTTTATGGCTGCATAGTATTCCATAGTGTATATGTGCCACATTTTCTTTTTTTTTTTGAGATATCTTATTTTATAAACAATTGTATGACAATGAACATTTATCACACATAAGTTTATACATAATTTTACTGATCATGGCATGATCTCTTTCATCAGGCATGACAGATATTCTTTATGTTTTATTCAAAACCTTGAATAAACTTTATTTTTTCTTAATTTTTTAAAAAATGTATTTATTAGCTATAGCCAATGAAATTAGATTCTATATTAGAAAAATGAACTGATTAAAATTCACCCTTTCCTAGAAAATTATGTAGAAAGTTTAGTAAAAGTGATATTGCTGTTGGGATCCTGCTTGGTACCTCTCAGATACTCTAAATACTCAAAAATTTTCTCACTACCTACCTCAGTGATGCTGGGAAGATGAATACAGTACTTATTTTTACAGACACGCTTACAGCTGAAAATGGCATGGAATCTATATCTGACCAGAGAGGTATAAACAGACGTCTGCAGGTGGTGGGAAGGAGAAAGGTGCAGAAAGGGAGTAAACTTATGAAAAGTTTTTGTTTTCCGATTAACCAAAACAATGACCAAAATGATGGAAAAAGTACAGGTGCAACAAGCAAAGCCTTTCCATTTTGTCCCTAATTATTGTTCTAAACTTAGATATCACGTCTGGAACTGAAGCAGCTATCTTGAGAACTTGAGTAAAAAGCATGTGAAAAAGGCCAACTAGAGCTTCCTGTTGCATGAATATATATATATATATATCCGATACAGAAAGAAATCATGAGGATGTACCTAAGTACATTGGAATAAATGTATGATACCACCAACAATTTTTCACATATATTAAAATCTTGATACAACATGACATCTTTTGGAACTTACATCAACTTAGTTGCTAATTCCAATCATACTTTTCCTACAGGTCTCATGTCCAGTTTATACTTCTTCCCATAATAAAAATCTAATTTCTATCATAAGTAACATATCATATTGAAACTATCTGTTTTTTAAATTGGAAAGAAGTTAGTGATATTAGGGTTAACTTTTTCCTTAGAAATGTGAGTGTAAGTGCTGGAGTTTGAGAATTTTTATGGTAAGGCTAAAAAGAAAACATATTAATTATATATTAAGTATCTCATTTATGAATTTGAGAATATAAGACTAAACATACAAGCCCAGGGCTTCATATAAATGATGTATAAATTTAATAAAAATAAAGACATAATTTATAAATTGTGTTTCAATTTAATAACATCTCCCACAATATGGATTGATAGATCTATAACTGGTCTAGGTCATGTTTTAAAATATAATACCCCCTTTCGTATTGTATCATTAAGAGAAATATATTCAAACTTCTTTTTAAAGGAAGAAAGAATGTCTACATATGTACATGTATGTACACATTTATATGTATTAACATTCAGACACATTTGTAAGTGTACAAAAATTTCTTGCAGATTTAGTTAGAATAAAAATAATACAATTCATATTCCATAGCTGACTATAAAGTACTCCTGTAAAGTCTAGGGCAAAAATAAGAAAACCTTATTATCTTTCATGTTTGTCTACAAAAAAGAAAAAATATATATATATAATTGAATTGCTAATGAGTAAACGTTGATAATTTATAACAATATTTTCTGATATATTGCCAGGAGTATTCCATTTACTTATGAAGTTTCAGTCTGATAATATTTCCAGAAACAATTTTGAAAATCAACACAGTATGCATAAGAATTTTTTTTTTTTAATTTGCTGAAATATGTGTGTGTGTGTTATGTACATTTTTAAAGTATATTTTTCTGGCCGGGTGCAGTGGCTTACACATGTAATCCCAGCACTTTGGGAGGCTGAGGCGGGTGGATCACCTGAGGTCAGGAGTTGGAGACCAGCCTAGCCAACATAATGAAACCCTGTCTTTACTAAAAATAATTAAAACAAAAAAATTAGCCAGACGTGGTGGCACACGCCTGTAATCCCAGCTACTTGGGAGGCTGAAGCAGGAGAATCGCTTGAACTTGGGAGGCGGAGGTTGCAGTGAGCTGAGATCATGCCATTGCACTCCAGCCTGGGCAACAAAAGAGAAACTCTGTCTCAATAAATACATAAAAGTGTATTGTTCTAACAAAAGTCTCATCACATTATGTACTTTCATATGGGATTGTATTTTGTTTTAAGTACTGTCTACATTATTGCACATCATCCAAATCTTTATATTAATTCCTTTAATTTAAAAATAAAAATGCATTGTAATGCATTTTCTACCAATGCAAAAATAAAAGAAAACCAAATAACTCATATCAAAAGAAAATGAGTACACACACGCATCCCCACACCACACAGACACACATACTGAAGCAATTGCTAATATTAATGTATGCACTTCTTAGCTGTATTCTCCTGGTATATGCATCTATATGGATAGACAATTAAAACACTAGTCAGTTTTTTGTCACCTTGCTATGTGGTTCTCTAGCACCTCACACTACATATGAAAAAACTCATTGCATTAGTCTGTTCTCATGATGCTAATAAAGATATTTCTGAGACTGGGTAATTTATAACAGAAAGAGGTTTAATTGACTCACAGTTCCACATGGCTAGGAAAGCCTCATAATCATGGTGGAAGGTAAATGCCGAGCAAAGTCACGTCTTACATGGCAGCAGGCAAGAGAGCATGTGCAGGAGAAATATTCTTTATAAAACCATCAGATCTATTGAGACTTACTCACTATCATGAGAACAGCTTGGGAAAGACCTGCCCTATAATTCAATTACCTCCCACCAGGTCCCTCCAATGACGTGAGAATTATGAGAGCTATAATTCAAGTTGAGACTTGGGTGGGGACACAGCCAAACCACATCGTTCATTATTCTTTATTGTAATTACTTTCTAATAGTAACATTTCTTACTACTCTGTAAATTACTTGAGAGCAGGACTTATGTCTTTTTTCATCAATGTTCCATCTTTGGTACCTACCCCAGTGTACAGCACATAATAAGATAATCCATTAGTGTTTGTTGAATGAATACATATTTGTGAGGTCTTTTCAGATGTTGCTAAGAGTTTTTATTTCTAAGTTATGTCCAGTCAAAACAGCTTAAGAATGCATTATAAATGAATTGAAGAGCACAGAGTCCTTCTTAGAAATCTGGGGAAAAATACTGCACTGATGAACATAAAATTTAGTGGCCAAAATTTACCAATTTGAAGTAAGTCTCTTTGGGAATCATGGGCTTTCAAATTTAAGAGAATAAATGGAGAAAAATATTTTAGAAAATTTTTGTTTATGATTTGTAATTATTAATCAAGAAATGTTTAATATCTTGGCCATGAAGGAATAGTGATTTCCCTCATTAAGTGTTGGCAAGAATATGGTCTAAAAATGGTATAAAAGGCATGCTATAGTAAATCTTCCAATTAATGTTTCAAAAAGGCATTTTTCTTGTAAATATTTTGATTTTGGTAAGTTCATAAACACTTTTTAATCAAATTGCCTATATTTCAGTGTATCTGAATTCAAGTTTAAGTTTGACCTTTTATTTTCAGTTTATTTCAAACTGAATATTTGCAATATAAGTTTAACAGCACCACAAATTGTTTCATTGAAAACTAATGTTTTATAACACAAAGTAACTTATAGCCATGGCATCTATATGAACAGAAAACCATAAATGATTAGAAGAGCTACTCGTCTTCCCATATATTTCTGCATATAGTTCTTTAAGAAAACCATGTAAAGAAATTTATATACTTTATACCATCAATGATATTCAGTTTGCAGTGCTTTTAAAGACACAGATAATAAGCATAAAGTGCTAACATTTGCTATGTGGGCTGTCAAAAAATCATTTGAAATCATTGGGGAGATATATTTCACAGAGGTTGAGACAAAAAAGTGAACTTAAAATATGCAAAAATAAGTATAATCAAAATATAAATCTGTTTCCAAAAATAATGGCATTATCATGGGATTGATTTCATTAACATTCTTCAGCACATTAAACAAATTGTACTATGTGTTTTTTGTATTATCTTGGAATACTCACTTCTTCCATAAAGAAAAGGATGCACTCATTAGATGAGATGAGACTCATAACAAAAGTTAAGTTGAAAATGCCCATCAGTGACAGATTGGATAAAAACATACACACCATGGAATACTATGTAGCTGCACAAAAGAATGAGATCACATTCTTTTCAGGAACATGATGGAGTTTGAGACCATTATCCTAAACAAGTTGATGCAGTAAGAGAAAACTAAATACTGCACGTCCTGATTTATAAGTAAGAGCTAAATAACAATACAACATGGACGCCAAGATGGGAACAAGAGACACCAGGGCAGATTTGAGGGTGGAGGGTGGCAGGAGGGAGAAAATCAGAAAAAAATAACTATTGTGTATGAGGCTTAGTACCTGAGTGATGAAATAATCTGCAAAACAAACCCCTATGACACAAGTTTACCTATATAACAAACTTGCACACGTACCCCTAAACCTAAATTAAAAGCTTAAAAAGTTAAGCTTATATAGTAAAATATCTAGTAACTTATGAGTGAGAATTAAAATGCATTGGATATGTTAATTATAGACAATGTATATGTAAAAAGCTAATCAAACAGTCTGAAATTATATGACTTGTTATATGTGTATATTAACTTAGTACCCTTAAACCACACCAACGATAGAGAATTACCATGTAACAAATGAGAGAAATAGAAAGACCAAGTCATTATAATACACAGGCTGATAACTCCATTACCCCTAAATCAGCCACCTATTTGGTAAAACCAGTTTTTATCTGGTATACTTTTACTTGTCTTGCCTTATGGCAAGTCTGTGTCATTAGCACAGGGGCCCCTTGCTCAAACCTGCACCCTGGTACTCATGACTATACCATTCATGTGGAAGGCTGATGTGGTAGAGAGATAAACGGTATGCATTACCATCATATAGTCTAGGACTCAAGTAGTGTTGCCTTTCTGCTCACTTACACCTTGTCCTAACTACTTTAAGCTGCCCCGTCACTTTTATCTGACTGTGTTTTAAACTGATGTAATATGAGCATTTTAATTTGACTTGTGAGCCTTTCTGTTTCTGTTCTGTGACATTTGGAATGGTTTGCCTGATAGGGCAACTAACAGGCTACAAGTCCATGAAAGTCATTCAAGATCTTTAATTTTCAAACAACAAATAAGCTAGAAAGAAATACCCCATGCATTGCTTAGTTTAGTGCAGAAGAAAGAAATAATATCCTATCAATCAATCAACCTGTCTATAGATATGTGTGTATATGTATGTGTGTGTGTATATATATATGTGTGTGTGTGTGTGTGTATATGTATATATATGTGTGTGTGTATATATATATGTATATATGTATAAATGTATTTGGCTGTGTTGTCTTTCACTGTGAGGAAGAAAGAAATGTTAAGTTGTGTGGTTAGCAGCTCTGATCCTGATGAGTTTACCAGCGTGGAATTAACAGCTCAGCTGTCATTAATTTTCATATCCTTGAGCAAACCAGTATCTTCTTCAAACCTAAACTTACTCAATTAAAAAGTAGAAACAATAAACAGTCCTGCTTCCATAGCAATTGGAAAGATTTAATCAGAAAATATTTGTAAAATGCTTAGAAAAAAGCCCTGTACATGAAAATATCCAATAACAGTTGCGAAGGGAGATAAAAATTAATACTTTTTATGAATGAGGCAAATAAGTCAGACTACTGTTATGGAAAAGACTATATGCTCTTCTGAAGAGGAATAAATAGAATAAATAAGAAATATGACAAACCTTTTTAGGCAGTTGTCTGAGTGTGGATAAAATGAGTTGGCCATCTTCTAAAACTTCAGCTAGCAAATTTGCCTAGGCCAAAGGCAATTTTTCTTTATGTTATAGCTTCTATATTTAACTAGTGTCTATTATTATAAAAATGGCTGACAACAAGAAATCTGGGCTTTTCACTGCTTCCTTATCAATAGATTCAACTTTGGTTTTGATTAGTTGTCTACTTTTTATCTATTGATTGCTTATATTTATTTCTGGAAAGGTATAATTGGGTTCAATTCACATAACTTTCATTTTTTTTCAGGGGAACAAGGAAGAAATTTATGTAATAAAGATTACAAAAATAAGTATTCTATAGATAATCTAAAATATTAATACAGGTTAAAATTGCTGTGTAGAAAATAGTTCAAAAGCACATTTCAAAAATGACTTATGTAATCAAATAAACCTAAGAAATAAAGTCAAGGTATATAATGCTTTATTCCAAATATAGGAAAAGAATGAGAATAGAGAGGAATTTGCTGTGAAGGACTGCAGAGCGTCTGGGACTTTATCCTTCTTTATCCTACTTTATCTTATAACAAGTTAGCTTGTTACTGTTTCATGAATGCTGGCAGAGACATGAGACTCCTGGGTCAAAGACATTTTACTTCATTACTCATCACAAAAGCAATAGCCAGAAGTTCATGTTCATGTCCTCCTTCTGTGTGCACACATGGGAGCAATGCAGCGCCTTGTGATGGATGATCATAATCTATTGGGTTGTTAATGAATAGATACATTGAGCTAGTGAAATTCACTGCCGTTATAGCAAGCAGACACAAGACTACATTTTGTCTAGGAAAGGGGTTATGTCCTCCCTCCTGTTTGCCTGCTGAGGACATATGATGGTAAGTATCCTAGGAAAAGAATGATCAGAGCTATGTATTCTTGGAATAGCCAGGAAGAACATGCAAGAACATGGAGGGCTCATTGTGTGTTACCTCTCCTAATGCGAGCCAATGCTTTGAGCTTGAAGAAAACTGTGAGCAGAAAAAAAAAAAATCCCTATTCCTCTATTTCCAGCAACACAAACAATGACTGGCTCATGGTAGGCTCAATAAATATCCAGTGTCATAATTGAATCATTAAGAACGAGCTGATGGACTTTGCACTTGGAGTAACATAAGGGGGCTACACATGGCCACAAACACCCTGTTGGGAAGTGTCATCTTAGCTGAGAAATCACTGAAGATTGTTAGTAAGGAAAGGGCATGTTCAGATTTATAATTTGGAACCATCACTTTGCCCTCAATATGATGATGGATTTAAGGAGAGCAAGACTAAGGCAGGGAGACAAATTAAAAAGCTATTGCAACAGACAGATTAGGTGATTATAAGGCTTTAAACTAGGAAATTATTAGGCAGGACAACATGAAAAGTGATTTTAGCAATATTTAGAGAGCAACACACAAGCCTAAATCCTTAATAGAATGAGAAGAGGGGATAGACGCTAAGATAATGCATAGTGTCATCACTTGAGACTGGGTCAATATGCCTTATGTAGAAAATCATCAATTCAGAAATCGTGAAGTTTTAATTAGATCCATTCAAATAAATATATTTTTAAAAAACAAATTTTATTTTAGTTTTCTAATAGATTTTATACAAATATAACTTTTTTATATTTATGATACTAAAATTAAACATTTAAATTTTTTTATAAATGTCTTTACATAGAGCAATAGTTTCTTTCTTAGAATATCAAAATACATACTTAAAATTGAATTATCTGTTCTACACAGATTTATTCCTTTCTCATGTCTTTCACTTCCTACTTAAATTATTCCTGTGATGATACAGCTAAGTAAGCTGTTCAGCTATGTTATTTACCCTTTAAAAGATGAGTAATTTACTCATTGGTAATCATGCAGCTGATAACCTTTGTTTTGATAAATTGCTTTTGAATTATATTTCTCAAGCCAGAAGCTTTATTATATTTGGTTGCTAAGACAAGCAAATTTTAAGAGTAGCTTTAAATAACATGCTTATTAGCCTCCTTCAACAAGGAGTACAACATTCTTCTCTACCAAAACCTAGTAAAATTTTAGGGTTAAAAGACAGCATTTAAATGAAACAAAGCTATGTATGTAGACTCACGACATGTAAATATTTGCATAATTTTGGAGATTTACTAAATAGACATTCCATATAGTTTTTAATGAATGGAGAAATAAATATGTCCTTATTTTTTGCATATTGCTGTACTCTAACATCAGCATCGTGTTCCAAGTAAGTTTATTTAGTGGAATTAACTTTCAGGTTTTCAATTTTTTAAGGGAAAGACATGCTGATTTATTTATATAAAAACCAAAAAGGTATTTATTTTATTTATTTATTTTCATGCTTTCCATGGCAGACTGTGGCAAACAACCCTCCACTCAAATGAAATATGCTGTTTTATTTTGCTTTTGATCATTCATTGTAGGCTATCACAATTTCCATTAACATGAATGCAAATTCTCAGAGAAATAAAATTAGTACAAAATTCCAAAATTCAGTATTTCTCTCAAAGGGAAAACAGTATAAATGGAATTTTCATAATGAATCACATAACTATCATTTATTCAGTTATTTGAGAAACTGGAAACATATCAATATTTAAGTGGACTAATTTTAAACACATGCAAAATGGCATAAATGCCATATTTTTTTTAATGTAATAGTACATATATTTGCAGATGGTGTCTCTAAAATACCAAACTGAGTGTCTAAGGAAGAATGTAGCTGCCTAGATTTTTTGTAGTAGAGAAGACAGTGAAGGAAATGCTGCTACTTTTATTGTAAATTAAAGGAGGATCCTTCATGAGAGATCTGAGTTTCCAAGAATGTCGGGTTGACATTTACGAAGTTGATTTGTCTTGACATTTAGAAGAGTTCCACACAATTATGTGTACATGTTCTAACATTATGTAAACCAAAATACATTTGTAATGTTTTAAGCTTTTAAAAGAAGATGGCTGTTTTAAGAGACAGAGAACAAGACTACTTTTACGTGCAAGCAGATTTCAGACTTGGAAAATGAAACAATGACATTTGCCTATAAAGTTGGATCTCAGAGCAAAATAGATCAAAATGTCAAACTATTGAAACGGTGTCACAGGTTTTTATTGTATTAAAGAATACTTTAAAGTTTTGATTTTCAGGGTAGAGGCAAGACAATGTACCATGTTAAAAAGAGGATAAAAAGATTTCAGGTTTAACCATGTAAAAATTGCTGATGTTCAACCTCTGACTTATAAAAGAAGCAATTTCAAGTGATATAAAATGATACCTAATATTTATTGAGTGCTTTCAGACTTACATATCTCAACACATTCAATTCTCCAAAAACTTGTAAGTGGATGGTACCGATGATGTCCTCATTTTACAGATGAGCAAATGGACAAAAAGTAACTAAGTAACCCACCTAGAGCCATGCAAGTCAAATGTGTACCTGAACCCAGTGTGGCTATACAACTGTGCTTTGAACCCCGATGCTCTTCTTTTTCCGAGAAGAGGTGATGGGCTGGATGTTAAATATTTTAAAAATCATGGGGTTATAGTATGTGCTGCTTGGAAATCCTGTACTAGCCCTTTTCTAAGAATTTGGAAGGTCTCCCAGTCTAAAAGTATGATAGCAAGCCAGTAGATCATGAATTTACTATAAACAATGCCTTAAGATAACTAATGTGGAGGCAGGATGAATATAAGACAAGGCTGGACAAAAAAACTGGAGGGGGAAGCTTGGTTAAATCTTTAAGACATGTAGACATTACCTAGTACAGTGGCAGTGGGAAATGGGAAGGGAAGCATAAAAACAGGAAGCAATGCAAAAGGAATATTTGGATACTGGTACTGATGACAGTAAAAGAGAGAATGAAATGTGATGCTTATCTTCCCATTCAGTTGACTAAGAAAATTATCTTCAAGTTGTTAGAGAATAAAGAGGACATGTGGAAAAGAATCTTGAAATTGGTGTGGTCAGGAAAACAATTAAGTGTTTCATATGCTATCATAGCCTATAGCAGCTTTTGTTTTGCTTTTTTGTTTTATTTGTTTGTTTGTTTTTGAGACAGAGTATATCTCTGTTGTCCAGGCTGGAATGAAGGGCCACAGTCATAGCTCACTGCAGCCTCGATCTCCTGGGCTCAAGTGATATTCTCGACTCAGAATCCTGCCTGTAGCAGTTTTAAAGTTTGTTTGTTTTGTAATAAGAAATGAAGTACCATACTTATATATGTAATACATGCTTAATAAAGGATGTATTCTGGCCAGGTGCGGTGGCTCATTCCTCTAATCCAAGCACTTTGGGAGGTTGAGGCAGGCAGATTACCTGAGGCTGGTAGTTCGAGACCAGCCTGACCAACATGGTGAGATCCTGTCTCTAGTGAAAATGTAAACATTAGCTGGGCGCGGTGGCACGTGCCTGTAGACCTAGCTACTCAGGATGCTGAGGCAGGAGAATTGCTTCAACCCAGGAGACCGAGTTTGCAGTGAGCTGAGGTTGTAGCACTGCACTTCAGCCTGGGCAACAGAGCGAGACTTTGTCTCAAAAAACAACAACAAGAACAACAAAAAACCCATATGTATTCTATTGCTATTTTATAAAAGGTTTTACATTTCTTTCAGGAGCTTAATTTTGATTTGTATAAGAAATTCCTCCTTGATATTTGGAAGAGGCAAAATTTAAATAACTATTAGCTTGTTATCAGCATTGCTAATAACTATTGTAACACATCACTCCACTAAATATTAATACAAACATTGTTCACTATTATGTGCAACATTTTAAAAAGTGAAGTATAATGGTCTTTTCCTTTCAGAAGCATGCCTATAGTCACATAAATGTGTACGTGTGTATATTAACACCTGAATATTCCACATAGTTCTTTACTTTAGATTTATTCTAAAAAAACCAATTTCCTAAAAAAAAGTGTATACATTTGAGCACATGCCTGAAATGATACACAAAACAAAATACTTGATAATAGGACCCTGTCACGTGTATGCATATGTTTGTTTTTCAAGGCCAGACACAGTGCTTTGCACTTGTAGGTGACTGGTGAATGCTTTTGAGAAAAACAAAACAAAACAAACAAGAAACCAAAAACTGGGGGAGGGAATCCAGTTGGTCAAGGGATCAGCTTGCATGGAATAGGCATTTCATAAACGTGAGCAGCTTTTCTATACCACAGGTTTTTCAGTAGAGATATTTTTATGTTTCCTGTGGCCTTCCATAACACAATGATGTGCAATTCCTTGAGAGTGACGTATTTGTAATATATTTCTGGATAAATATTCCCAAAGCCATATTACAGGGACCTACATGTCTTTTGTCTTTGTGTTTTCTCTGGAAAGGGGAGCATCCCCTGCTCTCTGACAGAAGGGAGAGGAATAAGTCTGATTTGTGAGAGCCTAGAATTCACTGTACATGTTTCTTGAGCGGAAGGGTTATCCATTTCCCCACCATGACACTTGATCATCTTTCCCTTCATTTCACAAGGGGAAGGTCCACAGTGCCCTCCCCTAGACTTCCTGCCTCTGTGTACTGAACATAATTATATGGATGGGCTCTGGGCATGTTTTCCATAGGCAGAAATGGATCCTCTCATTTCCTCTTTGTGCCAACAGTTTGGTGACTGAGCTAGTCCGACAGAAGTGCTCTGGAGTGCAGCCCTGCTCTTTTCCATTTCATGGTGATTGGTGGGAAAAGCATAGAGGTAGGAGAGTTAATTACCTTTCCTCTTGTTCCAAGACACACTACCTAATTCAGCTTTAACAAATTTCCAACATTAGGGGCTGTTCACTTGCTAATATTGTGGTTGTTCACTTACTAATACAGTGGCTAAATATTTTGAGAATTTTAAGTAATTGTATTTTGAATAGATTCTCTCCTTCACTTATATCCCAGAAGGGAGGCAGGGAAAACCTCAGTCTTGCTTCATCATCCAGACCCCTGGTCTTTAAAATAAACCAATGTAATATTCTGTAGAATATTACTATTGAAAGAAAGATTGGCATGTAGGCTAGAAGATAACATGTGGCAGGCCGGGCGCAGTGGCTCATGTCTGTAATCCCAGCACTTTGGGAGGCCGAGGTGGGTGGATCACGAAGTCAAGAGATCGAGACCATCCTGGCCAATGTGGTGAAACCTGTCTCTACTAAGAATACAGAAATTAGCTGGGTGTGGTGGTGTGCGCCTGTAGTCCCAGCTACTTGGGAGGCTGAGGCAGGAGAATCGCTTAAACCCAGGAGGTGGAGGTTGCAGTGAGCTGAGATCACGCCACTGCACTCCCGCCTGGTTGACAGAGCGAGACTCCATCTCTAAATACATAAATAAATAAATAAATAAATAAATAAATAAATAAATAAATAAAATATGTTGCGTGACTGAGGCATCTTATCCGGGGCAGGTACTAGAGCTAACTCTGGCCCATGAGCATGATGGTGACTGGCATTTTGGTTGTGCACACCATTCTAGGCAGATACTGCTCCTTGGTGATATGAAAAATAATATATATTTGCTTATAGTCAGATTTCATCTTTGAACAGTGAAACCTACATTTGAGATTTTAGACATCAGTTATTTGAAGTTTCATTAAGGAGAGGAAAGAGAGATAGAATTCTGCTATGGATGAACTCTGTTTGTAGCTCCTTATTTCTTGTATCAAATAATCTGCTGTAAATATGGCAAAATATTAGTATTTATGAAATACAGTGATATTCGATGTTTTTTGATATTTCAAAATAATAACGATACAAATGTCTGCTAAATCTCAACCAGATTTATCAAACTTGTCTGTATAACTTTCTTTTTGTCGCCATGAGTAACTTAACTGAGTACATAATTCGTACTGCAACTAACAGTGAAAAATGTATCCTCAGGAGCTAGCAATCACATCTCATTTAAAATGCAAACACTGAGGAGTCCACGTCTCAATTTTCTCTGGGTTAAAATGAGTGCCTCAGAAATGCTAGTCTTCCTGAAGGATACAGGTATCAATAGGCCCAGCATCTGCTCTCCCTGACCTCCTCTGAGTTTTGCTGTCAGGCTTGGTCTTGGGTGTCTGACAGCCACACGCTTGCTGTACTTAGTCCTTAAGTGCTGAGTATTTGTTTCCTCAGAGCATGAGCGTCCTGCTTGGGAGCTACGTTGCTTCACCCTTCTGGTTCTTCTTCTTGCCTAGTCTGCCTTCTGTAACTCCTGTTGGTGATCTTGTAAATTATTTCCTTTGTTTCTCTATCATGCTAAGATTTTTTGGGATTTCCATATTTCTCCGTGTGTATCCCTTTAGACATCTTCTTCAACTACAACTATGCTAAAATTAAGTTGCCATGAGAGTCCAGTGGCATAACTGAGGGGAATATTCTCTAGAAAGATAATCTTCTGAGGCTATGCCCTGGGAGCAAATAACAAGCACACTTGGAGATTCCCTCAAACCTGATTATGGCAATCACTTTCGTGGTTTGTCTTTAATGTGAGGGCTGCTTTTCAGCCCCTTTCTCTCCTCTTCTCACTGTTCTTATGCTTATCAAACCTCTTCTTTCTGCTTGCTAGATACAATCTAGTTTACTTTGGGGCAAGAGGAAGACTATTAACTATCATGTATCATTACCTAATTATGTAGACTCTTAAACATAGTATATAATTATCTGTTCTATGTATACATTTATGCTCAGTCATCTAAGTTAATCTTGAGATTTCAATCCCTGCTTTTGGAATTTCTAGAAAAGCCTTTTCTCCCTCAACAATTTTCAGCAATTGTAAATCAATTAACACTAGCTTTTAGGGTATTGCCCAAGAGTAGGTACAATAGTATCAAACGAAAAGGGCTTTCATGCACTATTGGTGTGAATGTAAATTAGGAAAGCCACTATGAAAAACAGTATAAAGATTTCTGAAAACACTAAAAATAGAACTTCCATATAATCCAGCAATGTCACTACTGGGTATGTATCCAAAGGAAAATAAATTAGCCTATCAAAGGGATATCTGTCCTCCCATGTTTATTATTTCATTATTTACAACAGCAAGCATATGGAATCAACTTAAGAATCTATCATTGAATAAATGAATAAAGGAAATGTGGCAAGTATACATAATGGAAGAGCATCTGTAAAAAATAATGAAATCATGTCATTTGCAACAAGGATGGAGCCAGAAGTCACTGTGTTAAATGAAATAAGCCAGGCACAGAAAGGAAAATATTGCATGTTCTCATTGATGGGAGCTTAAAAAGTTGATCTCGTGGAAGTAGGGAGTAGAATGACAGAAACCAGAGCCTGGGAAGAGTATATAGAGGTGGAAGATGAGAAGAGGGTACAAACATACAGTTGGAAGATACAAGTTCTAATGTTTGATAGCTGAGTGGGTGAATATAGTTAACAACAATACACTGTATATTTCATAATAGCTAGAACAGAGAACTTGAAATGTTCCCAACATATAGAAATGATAAATATCAAAGTGATGGGATACCCCAAATACCCTGACTTGATAATTATGTATTCTATGCATGTATCAAACTATCATTTTTTATCCCATATATATGTACAAATATTATATATCAAAATATTTTAAAGTCATAGTTGTTATAAATGCATACCATATGCCTGTTGCTGTTAAAGAATTTTGTTTGCATTAATAATCACTAGAATAATCTTATGCAGTCCACAAAATCATAATAACCCATATTGCACAGATAAGAAATCTGAGATAGAAGAAGGGCAAATGACTTGTCCAACTAAAAGTGTGTAGAAAAGATTTGAACTAAGTAAGCTGGCTCCATGTCAATTGTTCTTAGGACTATAATTACATTGCTTCTCCCTCAAACTCTATTTAGAAATTAAAGATTGTTCTACTTTGTATTTCTAAAAGGACATCTTATTGTAAACTCACATACTCTGGAGCAAAACTGCAAAGACAGGTGCAGTTTTTAAAACATAGTTGAGAAAATATCACTTTGTTCGAACATGGCTAAATATTTTCTGCAGCACTGCCTTTTGCCAGAAAATTCACTCATAATTGAATTCCATTCTGATTCGATCTTGTGCTTTTTGTAAACACAATAGACAAGGAAATGGGTACTGTTCATTCAGAATTGGGATGTATTTTTCTCTACTCCTGGCATTATACATTTGAACTCACTTTTTTTGTGGTTTGTGTGCTTTTGTGATGCAATTCTCTATGTGGAGAGAATTCTTTGTAGAGTTAAGGCTGAGATTAGTAAAACAAGAAAAAAAAAAAGAGACAACTGACAAGATGCAGACGTATCTTGTCAGTATGTTCAAAGTATGGTGTATTACTCTGTTCTCACACTGCTATGTAGAAATACCCGAGACTGGGTAATTTATAAAGAAATTAGGTTTAACTGACTTACAGTTTCTCATGGCTGGGGAGGCCTCAGGAAACGTACAATCATGGCAGAGGCACCTCTTCACAGGGCAGTAGGAGAGAGAATGAGTGCCAGCAGGAGAAATGCCAGACACTTACAAAACCATCAGATCTCGTGAGAACTCACTCAGTTTCATGAGAACAGCATGGGGGAAACCATCACCATGATTCAATTACCTCTACAGGGTCTTTCCCACAACACATGAGGACAATGGGGATTACAATTCAATATGAGATTTAGGTGGGGACACAGCCAAACCGTTAATACGGGATTTGAACTTTGAAGGCTAGAATCAACTTGAATTGTGAGGAATGCCGTCTATTTGTTCTACTCAGACTTCAAATTTGGTCATATTTTTTGGGGACAGAAGTTCTCTCTCTTTTGGATAGTGAAGCTAGGGGAAGGAATGCTACTAAGAATATGTCTTATTACATAAGAAAGGCCAGCCAGAGGACATGCTGATAGGTAGGGGAGAAAATATGAGTGAATCAGAGAAACAAGGCAATATTCTGATGGTATCATGAACCTCTGGAACAAAAACCATGCCTTTATCTCTAAATGGTTTGGATACATGAAAGCCAGTGACTTCCTTGTACTATTTAATCCAGTTTAAGTTGTATTTTCTCTTACCTCTCCATAAAAATATTCTAACTGATGAGGCTGACACACACAAAAAACTCAAGTTTATAAGCAACAACAGTATCTAACAGACCAAGTAGATATTGACAAACCAATCAAAAAAAGAAACAGAGACAAATGTATGCAAGTGAGTGTAAATAAAATGGCTAGCACCTTCTCTGTGATTCCATCCCAGTGGTGCACATTAAATGTATTTGCAAATACATGACAGTTGCATATGAGTGAGGAAGTACGTGTGAATTGATAGAATGTGTGTTAATGCATGTGTGTGCAACAGAAGCGGCCATGGAACATAAATCAATGATTAGAGTTCTTGGAAATAGTAAGATTTTGTTCATTGAGAATTTGTACCAAATGCTCTTGCCTGTTATTGTTTATCTTTACAGGTGATTATCAAGGATGTGAAAGGGCTAGAGTTTGATATTGGGAATGGAATAGAATATTGAAACAAATGAAAAAGACATAGTGGGAACTCAGTCATTTACAGAGCAGAGAAGAGATGTCTATGAGGATAATGTTAATACGAAATTTAAGAAATTCTTGCATTTTAAAGTACTTGTGAGACATCTATATTCCAAATTCTGATAGTATTAAAGTTCCATTCTGATCCCAGGTAAGATAAAACAAACTTCGTCAACATCAGTATGATTGCCGAAAGGAGATACAATTGAGATGGCAAGGAAGAGAAGTTGGAGACAATGCTATAAATAAAACCCTGGGAAATAGCTGTGTTACTATGCATTAGGAACAAGAAAAACTTGCCAAGTTGATGAAGAACAGAGAACAAAAGGAGAAAAGTTAATAAAACTCACAGACATGAACAGTCAGATATTGGATTCTAAAAAAAGTATAATTAAGGTGAGAATAGGAAAGAAGACATTGGATTTGTTAATTAATGGGACATTGGTGACTATTTGAGAGCAGCTTCAGTAAAGTAGTAAATGAATAGTTCAATTCTACACATGTAAATGACACGAGAGAATAGACCAAATATAGGAGCAGAGGCACTGAGCACAACTCTGTTTTCTAAAAGTGTATAAATGACAGGATGGCATGAGAGAGCCTAGACAGTGTAGATGGTGAAGCTAGGTTTCACATTAAGAGTAAGCAATGAAGAGAAGACTGAAAATAAAATGAAGAAGAGATGATCATTATATTCTAGAGAAGGGTAAGGAGTACAGTAAAAATTCAGGGGAAGCACTAACAGCTGCTAATAATAATAACAGCATGATCAACATCAGGAACAACACTTTCAAACAACCAACAACTGCAAAAATTTATTCTTTCTTTTCCTTCCAGAAGACTAAATATTGGTAGTGATACAGAAAGTATTTTGTTCCAGGATATTACATATTTTTAAACTTCTGATCTTATAAAAAGTTGAAATTTACTTTAAAAAGTCAATTACATTATCAAGGTATATTTAAAATTTGTATGTTAAATAACACATATCTGAAATACATATGGAGTAATAAATTATGTTACTAATTAGTATGATTTATAGAAATAGTTTAACAGACTCTTACAACTAAATGAAATATTATTAAGGATTTATTGTTGTGCTGACCGACATATCAAATTATGGATATTGTTGTGTTTATGCAATCTGAGTGAATGAAATATATACTGATCATAATTTCTTTTTTCTGAGAAACTATAAGGTTTGTAATACTTTGAGTCACATTTTAATTCCATTCCAGTTTTGCATTAATGTAAATTAAAATACAGTCATCGCAACGCTCTGTAAGACAATAAAATGCAGAGTACAATGTATTTGAAAAACTAAAGCTTGAAGCAGTAATTTAAAATATCAGTTGTTATCTTAACTAAGGTGACAAACTATGTGCTGACCAATAGATTTACTATTTTGTTCTGCTCTTTAAATTTTTAATCTGTAATTGTAGTTCCACATCTGCTAATACAGAGGTAAGAATGCAGTGGTTTCAGTCACACATACAGAAGAATTAAATTACTGCCCTTGAAAAGTCTAGTTTTCTAATTTCTAATATATTTCTGTATTGATTGTTCTGAAGGGGAGGCAGCTTTCCCATTTCCTAATCATGCTTAGAAATCTATAAACATTTAAAAATCTTCTAAATTGGGTACTTTGAGTTTCCTCGCCATTTTCATTTTCAGTGACTAATGAATATCAAGGATAAGGAAATTATTTCCTTGTAATTACTGAAAGTAAACTGACTTATTAGGCCATGACTTATATAATATAGGAATACAATGTGCAGTACATGATTTCCATTGTTATTTCAGATTGGGAAGTTCTTTATCGGAAAATCAATAAAATCTTGCAGCCTTGCCGTGCTGTTTGAATCTCAGTTCTCTGCAGCTAAATAAATTATGTATTAGAATCACACAATTATGTCTCAGATAATGTTTACAACTAACAAATTATTTACATAGTTTTAAATAAATACATATTGAATAAGAATGAGTGAGAATTTACTGTTCTTCTGATCACCAAATTGTCTTTGTATGAGTCACAGCCACCTTACATTTTACTTTTCCCTAATCCTAGCTATGGACAGACAATCTGATTATCACAAGTTTTATTTTCACTGCAAGGAGTGTTGCGTCATCAGAGACTCTAATCTTAATATAATTTTTTCCTTGATTATATCCCATGTGAGACATGCAGTTTGGTTTTTAGAGTTTGTGCATCTTGGCTCAGTTCTTCCATCATGCCTGCCACATAGACAGATCATAAACAAGGCTTATCATTCTAGCAAACTTAAGATCTTAATGGTTTTTTACCACTTACTTAATGGAAATAGGAATGTGTTCTACTTTCATCACCCTCATAAAATGATCAGTAAATATCTCAATAAACATTCTGAAATTATGGCCTTGTTGCAGGAAAAGGAGAGGGATAATATGAAATGGATAATGTCAGAATTGAAGATCGCCTGGCAACATTTTATAGACTTCAAAACATAAGAACTGGTAGATCAAAATAAATGAAAAATGGAAATAGTTTAACAAGATTATTTGATGCAGTAACTATATGGTTCAATATGACCATTGTGTATAATGTAGCAGTAGGTCCCAACATTTTTAAATACAATTTAAATGTGAATATATTATTCAATATATAAGTATGTATCATCTCCTATGATTCTAAAAGATTAAAGAGTGGTAAATAAGGCTGCCCTTAATTTTTATAATGTCATTAATTTTAATATATAGTCAATTATATATATAAAAAAGGACTCATTTACTCAAGTTTAAGATTTCTCTTCATGGCCAAATGTGCTTCCTTCACTTAGATTTTAGAAGGTTCAATAAGCTTAACTAAGTTTTCAAGATTTAGCCTTTGGGGTATGGCTATAAAATGGAAAGCAACAAGAAGCAAGAGCTGTTGCAGGAAATCAGCTGCCAAGAGGCTATGACAGTCATTCAGTTGAGACAAATCAATAGTTTCAGCCATGGTAATGGCATAAGGATAGAGAGAAGTGAGAAGGCTTTATAAATATTTATGTGATGAATTTGGCATTCACTCTAATGTAATGACTTTTTCACCACTGTACCAAAAACAACATTAGCTAACACATATTTATTGAATGAATCAATGAATCAATAAATAGATAATTAAGTGGCTGAATGGATGTGGTATGACAAGGGAAAGAAAAACCTGAGAATAATTTTCTAATTTCTGGCTCAAATAACTGTCTATAGTTAGTACCATTTACTGAAATAGAAATAGTAGGCATTTGCAGAAAAGCAAGGCGGTGATGGCTGAAAGTTTTACTATTTCCTTATTTAATTTTCCGTACTTTTGGCTAATGGTATTTCTGAATTTCAAATATTTTATTTATTTTCTTTACTTACTTTTTATTCCTTTGTTATTATTATTCTATTTACTTACTTTTTATTTTATTTATGTATTTATTTATGTATTTATTTATTTATTTATTATTTTTGAGACAGAGTCTAACTTTGTTGCCCAGGCTGGAGTACAGTGGTGCAATCTCTGTTCACTGCAACCTCTGTCTGTCAGGTTCAAGTGAATCTCCTGCCTTAGCCTCCTGAGTAGCTAGGATTACAGGTGCCCACTAAGACGTCCAGCTAATTTTTGTATCTTTTAATAGAGATGGGGTTTCATCGTGTTGGTCAGGCTGGTCTTGAAATCCTGACCTCAAGTGATCTGCCTGCCTTGGCCTCCCAAAGCATTGGGATTACAGGCATGAGCTGCCACGCCCAGCCTACTTACTTTCTAATTGCCAATACATTTAAAGTACATTCCTCCAGTTGGCATATAAGGATGCCACGCTGGCATCTGCCGGCATCTCTGCCTCATCTTTTATCTTTCCCTCTTTTAGAATGATTTCCCTAAGTATATCATGATGTTTTCTTTCTCATCGTTAAATATGCTCCTCCATCCTCTTGGAATACCACAGATTCCAAACAATCTGATAAATATCTACATATTTTCAAGATCACTCTAAAGTTTTTCCCAAAAGCTTTTTCTACATTTCCCAATATTAACTGTTAAATTTTCTCCTTTGTAAAGTATTTTCTAGCAACCTTCATGAACATAATTTAGAGTCCATGTAAAACCATGATTTCATAGAATACTGGCTTTTCAAACTTACACTGACTAAATATGTCAAAGTTAGATGAGTCATATAATTCAGAAACTTAAATTTACTATGCCATTATATAGCAAAACCATTGATTGAACGGTTGTGTTAAGTAGGGAACATATAAAAATAGAGTAAAACTGGAAAGTGGATACACATCAGGATAATAACACATATTAGGTAAAGGGCTAAATTTAAAATACATTAATCGAGGTGCATTAAAACTTCTGCTAGATTACTGAGCAAAGAATTCACAAATGTTAGTTATCAGTTGATCTAAAAAGACATTATTTCACTGCACTACCTATGTCCTCGGCTGAAGTCAGCTCAGCACTACCATTTTCTAGCCTCTTTGCAACACAGTATGTAACGGTAATGGTGGCAACAGGAAGGCAGCAAGTGCCAAACAGTAATCATTATCACCACCAAACCAAAAAGGAAAGGCATTAAATAGAATGAACATAGGATGAGAAGAAAGACTTCAAGGGACTTTGCTCAAGACCCAGTCTGAATTGCACATAGCGAACAATCCATAAATATCACAAGTCATTGGCACTACTGCTCCGGAATGTTTTTCTGGGTAAACTCATTTATTCTGTTCGTATTTTTGTGTGTATTGACATTCAAAAGACGTTCAATATGTTTAAAAAACTAGAGCAGAAAGCATTTTTTCTAAAATAAAACATTTAATTAAAGTGAAAAATAGGAAACTTTTATCTTCGCTTCTGCCTTTCCTCATTCCCTAGAGATTGCCACTATTGGATATATACTGTGCTGAAATGAAGTTTCATTGCCAGAAAATTTCTCTTTCTTCAACCTTTTCACTCAAAGTGCCCTTCACAAGTTTGCTGTAACGGATACCCCGATCTTCCTTGAGGATACTTCTTGCTTTGCCTGCAGTGCTCCCAAGTGGTAGAGGATTTGGGGCCTGTTTTATTTTATTTTTTCTATAATTCTCTTATCACTAAGCCTGGAAGTAGGCTGAGTTTTTTTGCTCCCTGGTCTTCATTGCTCCCTCCAGTCTATTCTCCACTCAGTACAGAAATATTAATCCCTTGTTATTAGTGGTATCATTCAGGATCCCTCATTACTGCATCCTTTACTGACCTCCAGGTCTCTCCTCAATTCGTGGCATTTTTAGCTCCTGCCTCACTATCCCTTTTGCTGTCAGAATTTTGATAGTTTCAATTCTCAGAGACAGCAAACATCCTAACCACATTTTGGCCTCTCAGTTTCCTGAACTACTGTGGACTTGTCTTGCAAACTCCTCCAGACACTCAGTCTGATAGTCATAACCTAGATCCTGCTATTACCTTTAATAGCCACTCCTCCACCATCTCAATTTCATGCATCATACTCTGGCAGCTCAACTTCCTGACTTCTTGCTTGTAGTTCACTGTCTCGGGCAGCCCTACTGTGATAAGCCCTCATGCCACTGGGAAGTGCATGTATTGATCTCACAATATTTTCACTTTCCCTCAACAACCTTATATTTTTCTCTTCCATCAAAATCAAGCATACATTCCATGGTAAGGTGTTTTAATGACTCCCGTATATACATCCTCAACTACACCACTCTTCTTTAATTTTCTCACCCAACTTGACAAAGCCATAACTCTAAATTGGACTTTTTACTAATCAAGTCTTGAAGCTGAGCAGTGACATGAATGGAGAAAAACACACAACCATGCTACATGATCTCATTTTAAATCCTCTTTAATCTTTAAGGTAATTCGTGTCTTTATTCCCTTCTCTTTCATACTCTCCCGGATGTCTATTCTGTAACTTTTCTGTTTTTTGAAATGTGCAGCATCTCTTCCCCATACTCACTTTTAGTTAATGAACTTGTTTCCAAATTTGCTGAGAAATAAAGCCCCGTTACCTGCCCTCACATCCATGCCTGCATACATCACCTTCACTTCTGTTAGTATATTAAAGGTGAACTCCTTCCCCTGTGCAGTTATCAAAGCCCACTCATCAGGGCTTCCGTCTCTATGCAATAGCATTGTGGAAGGAAAAGTCTCTCCTCCTTTTGACAAGACTCAGCTTTTTGCTACACTACAAGTTCCAGCAATAATGATGAGCTAGATTACAACTCTTACTTACCCCCGGACTTAGCACTGTATGCGCCAAGCTATTCCAAGTAGGGACCTGCTGCTTTCCTGCTCAAGAACATCACTCTGACAATTCATTAAGTCTATCTCCAATGTCACAAATTTCTCCTCTCTACGAGATCGTTCCTATCATACTGTTATTTCTGAAATATAATCTCCCTTGATGCTCCTCTTCTTTTCAGCTTCCTCACCATTCCTGTTTCCCCAATTGCTGCTGAAATGCTTATAAACATTCTTTATTTTCTGTGTGCAATTCTGTGCTTCTCTATCTCTCTTAAACTTAAAGTGGGTATTCTTCTCCTGTACTCTATTGAATCTATTTTTGTAAGGTTGCATGTGGGCTCCACTGCTAAGAGCAAGGCCACTTCTCAGAATGTATGTATTTTTGACACTGTTGATCACTTCCACTTTCTGTAAACTCAGTTTCATAAATACTGCTTTCTCTGCTTGTTCATTCTCTCCTCATCATTCTCATTGTTGTCATTTCACAGTATCACAAGGCACCATCATAACCTCATCGGAGTTATTGCAGTAGCTTCTAAACTGGTTTCCCTGTTTTCATCCACACTATCCACTTCAAGAGTATTCATCATAAATCATGGTAATCTTTTTAATATACAAATCAGATTAGGTTACTTTTCTGCTCACATTCCACATTGGTTTCCCATTCACTGAGTAAAAAGCAGAGTATTTATTTACAGTTTTTACAAAGCGGCAGGGCACGGTGGCTCACACCTGTAATCCCAGCACTTTGGGAGGCCGAGGCGGGAGGATCACAAGGTCAGGAGTTCAAGACCAGCCTGGCCAATATGGTGAAACGCAGTCTCTACTAAAAATACAAAAAAATTAGCTGGGTATGGTGGCACATTCCTGTAATCCCAGCTACTCGGGATGCTGAGGCAGGAGAATAGATTGAACCCGGGAGGCGGAGGTTGCAGTGAGCCAAGATCACGCCACTGCACTCCAGCACTCCAGCCTGGGCGACAGATCAGCACTCCAGCCTGGGCAACAGATCGAGATTCAGTCTAAAAAAAAAAAAAAAAAAGCAAAAGCATTGATAGCTTAATTGCCTGTCAGACCAAGTTTTCCGTCTGTGAAACTTGCTAACTCCATTCTCATATCTCAGGCAATACTCCTGGGTGTCTGTCTAACTTGGCTTCTCTGCTCCAAAATAAATTCACTGAACTGAATTGAAGTTTAGGTATCAGATGTTATTCCAGCCACTGTGAATATCGTATGAACAAACCGTCTTTAATATGTGCATATTTTCTAACGAATTCTAATTTATGGAATAGTTTTTTCATGTAACCTTAAATAAAGAAAACTTGACATGTGTTATCTTCTATGAGACCTTAATAATAATGACAATAATTAGCAGAAGTGTCTCATGTTAAATTTCATGGACATGAGGTTCAAGAGGTCTGGGTTTATGAAGTTTTCTAATAATAGTGGATTATGAATGATTAGGAATAGGTTTTTAAATTATTTGTATTCCATATATAGTTTATTCTTTTCCAAATGAGATATTGCCTTTATTTTTATAAAGCTTCATGATTATTTAAATAAAGGAGATTAGTGTTAATTATGGACTTTGGGACAATGTAGATCCGTAGACTGTAACAAATGTACCACCTTGTGCCTGATGTACATAGTGGAGGAAGTTCGCATGTGTGAAACAAAGGGAATGTGGGAACTCCCTGTACTTTCCATTCAATTTTGTTGTGAACCTAAATCTGCTCTAAAAAAATAAAGTTTACTAATTAACACAATGAAAAGATTTAAGTTAATACAATCATGAATTCAACTTGCCAATGATTATGTTTGGCAGTTATATACCACATCTGCCTGGGAATCACCAGAACTGAAAGACGGGCAGTGTATGTATTCAACAGCGTGCTATGTTTGATTCAATGACGATGCCTGAGTTACTTGTTATTACCATATATTAATGTACTATATTACTCTGTACCATTTTATTCTACAAAACAGGAATCATCACAATGCCAGATCTTTGATAAATACATGCATCCCTCATAAACAAGTTTTGTGTGTTGCTTTTCAGTTTTTACTATTTGTACCATCCTTTAGATGTATTTTTATTTTAACTGAGGTACATACTATTTTAAAAGTAGTAATGGCATTGGTTGAATAGTTGATATATTTTAAGCATCATAAGCAGTACATTACTTTATTTAACCTATACAATAATCCATACAATGGTTATGAGTAGACATTAATATTACAGTTTTACAGTAAGGAATATAAACATGAATGTACTAAGTAGTTTTCTTAAGGTTCTATAAATGATGAGTTTTAAAGATGAGATTCAAACATAGCACTATCTAGTGTCAAAAGCTGTTCCTGCTGTTAATGTTTTGTTCTACTTAATACAACTTAATGAAGATATTTGTTAAAAAACAAAAACAAAAAATTAAAAAATGCCAAAAATAAAATAAAAGTTACTCGTGCTCAGTAACTCAAACTGTTAACATTTCAACTTACATCTTTCCGAATTTATGTTTGACTGCATATAATGTATAGTATTTCAATAATGTTTAATGTATTATTTTGTGACAGGACTTTTATACTTGAGTGGGTATTTTCAGTTTTTCTAGATATTTTTTCAGGTGTATTTTATAACATTACATTGGAAGGATGCGCTATGACTTCACTAATTTCCTGTCTTCGACATTGGATTTTCTTTTTGCTATTTTACTATATTATATATAATGTATAAATTCATTTTTCTTGTACTTAAAATATTGTTCTTTTCACTTGAATTTCTTATTTTCTTGGGATAAGTATTTCCTGTTACAATTATTTTCTCAGCGTATGCATGCTTTTGTGGCTTTCTAAACAGATTCCCAAAGTGTCTCCTGAAATGTATCAATTGTTTCAACAATAAAGCACGATTTCTTATTTTTTATATTTTTGCCAAAAACTAGGTATTATTCTTGGTTATTGTTGTGGTTGCCAATCCTTGATTATTTTTGATAATAGCATCTTAACATCAGATAATCTTATTTTTCAAAATCAATAGAGAAGACATTGTCCATGATATTATTTACCATCTGTTCTTTGCTTTTTAAATATGCTATCCCTTTTTCCCTCTTATCCACCTCAAACCTTGCCTTATGAATTTGTAAATGCTGTTCACTAGTAAAAATATCATCCTTTTGCTTGCCACATAATTGTAAATCTCCCCTTAATTCTAAAAACAAGATTGAAATAATTATATTTTATGTTCTTCTTAGTATTTTTACATTTATTTGTTTAATCTAACTGAAATATATTTACCTTTGAGGTGTTAGATCAGAAACTAACATTTTATTTCCAAGTAGCTTTATTAGTCCCAGCTACTCGGGAGGCTGAGGCAGGAGAGTGGCGTGAACCCAGGAGGCGGAGCTTGCAGTGAGCCGAGATCCCGCCACTGCACCTTTCCAGCCTGGGCGACAGAGCAAGACTCCTTCTCAAAAACAAACAAACAAAAAGACATTCATCCAGCTCCAATCATTAATAATTGTTATTCATTTTTGGAGACTCTACTTCCACTAGGTGCTCCAATCACTTCCTCTAAGCTGTCACTGTCTCTAGCTTACTAAGTTCCCAGAAGTTTCCTTCTCCTCACCTGGCCGAAAGAAACATACACATGGGACCCTGCTCCCGGCCTATGCTGGCCACTTAGTTCTCAGTCTTGGAATTTAAGAATCAGCTCTTATAGACTATAGTCAAATTGATTAATTTTAGACAGAAAAATCATAGGGTTGGAAATACCATTCTACACATGAAAAGTTGACCTGCAGAGAAAAATAAAAGACTAAAATGAATGTCTAAAAAGAAATAGTGATTGACCTTAATTCACAAGATGAGAAAGGAAGTCCTAGAAGGCAGCCGCTATGGAGACTCCTGGTGGATTTTGAGACCATTTGCCATTTATTGGGGGTCAGTGTTTGCTCTTTGCTGCTGCAAGATATCCTTTTATTAGGCTAATAAATTCTGCCTTTTTATTTCAGCTAAGAATGTGAATTCATTTATTTGCAACCAAATAACCTCTAAGACTCAAACATTTATACAGAGGTGCGTTTCTTGGCTTTTTCTTTTCATTTATTGTGCTGTCTGCTTATTTTTACAGCAGAACCACATTACTTTAAATAGCATAACTTCCCAGTATATTTGAATAGCTAGCAGAAGCCATCATTGTAATTTTTCTTGTATTTGATTATATGTGTGTTTATTTATTTCCAGAAAAAACTTGAGTATCATTTCATCTTGTTATAACAAAATCCATTAAAATTCTAATTATACTAAAATTCAATGTTTAAAATAATTCAGTATGACTGCACATTTTTCTAATATACAATTTTTATATAAGATAATAAAAATGTGTCTCAATTATTTTCATATTGTAGTTTTTTATTGTGTAAGAATTTATGCATTATTTATGCATGATTCATTGTACAATTCAAAAAGCATTTGCTGATTTTTTTTTATGTTCCAGGCATTAAGCAGTACAGTGAAATGAGAAAAATCACTAAATAAAATGACCCTGGAGAGAAAGAGACAGACATCATTATAGCCTTCTTAGATTAAGTGTTTTGGTATTTATAACAAGAGCAACAAAAGCCATTGATAGGCATTAAGCAGAGATGTAAATGATCAAATTTGTATAAGATCATGAATATTCATACGTTGGTAGCTTTATTTGTGCTATTATAAATTCAACTGATTAGCTTTGACATATAGGAAAGCCATTGATTTTGCAGGGTATGTATGTCTGTATATTTGTGGTAATCATAAGTTCTAAAAGTTTTTAAATATTTTTATTTGAACAGTCTAGGTAAATAATACTGTCAATTTATATAATAATTATACCATCTACTTACATAACAATTCTTATTGGTTTTCATTTTCTCTAAGATTGCAACTAGTTTTCCCCTGTTCTAACACACAGGTCTCTTTCTTGCCCATTACATTAGAGAGGGTTCAGTCAGGGGAAAATAAGATGCTTTGGGTATTTCAAAGAGAAAGATACTTAATACAGAATATTAGAGGCTTGCATAAAAATGGAAAGGTTTGGATTGCTGAAGACCAGGTATACCACTTGGAAGACATTTAGATGTGTCTGCAGTCATTCAAGTTGTCACAATAGTTTCAGGAGTCTGAAAAACTAGACCAAATGTTTCTCAGAAGAACACCATAAGATGTGCCAACTATTGATCTCAACTACTCTCTGTCTCTGTGACATAATTCTCAACTGCCATTTGGGAAAAATTCTCAGCTTGCTTTCAATCCATGCAATTTAAATAAACACCAAATCTCAAATTCTGGTTGTAGAAGTAAGGATGTTATCCATAACAGACCTCAAAACTGCATTCTACTGACCACAATGATTGGTTGAGGTTTCAGCATAGTAAGCATAGTACCAGGCAAGGCCAGTGACTAATCTACAGTTTTGCTGAGATGAATTATTTTCACTGAAGTTATTCATTTAACAGAAGGTAGTTAATATACCGATACTGGCCATCATGGTCATTACATTTGAAAAAAAAAAAGCCTGAAAATAAAATACCAACATAAAGAAAAAACTGAACAATTTGATGAGTCAGATCTTGAAGACTTTTTTTGAATAATTGATTCCAGTGATTTCTAGGACCAAGTTTAGAGTTGAATTTCTTAATTATATTATCCAGTTTTGCTAAAGCCAATTGAGTTGAATTTCTTCACTTCTACTGAAAGAATCCTAATTCAATAATTATACCTGTTACGTGCACTTTATATTATTTTTAGACATGGCATTCATTATTTCAATTAAGTTTTCTGCATTTGTATTACACATTTAGAATATTTTGTGTTGCCTCTTTGAAGTTTCATGCATTAAAATAATAATGTAAGAAATTATAAAGTTCTCCAACTATTACTCTGTGTTAAAAGCTTCTATTTTTGCTTGAGAGTTTTTCTTTTGTAATTTAAAATAATTTTAATATAGTACTGTCTATACCATGTATCTATTTGAAGAACAGTTTATTTCAGCAATTATAATTTATATTACAAGGCAACCATTTTATTCAGATCTATTTTTTATTGAATCTGGTTTTGAATTAATTTTGTTCTGTAATGTTGTAACAGAGATTTTTAAAATAAATTAGGTTACCAAGTAATCTTTTACTTTTCCTTGCGTTTGTGTCTGCTGTTTTTAATTTCATCGAGATTACAGAGTTTTAGGGATGCTATAGGTATTTTTCTCTTACAGTGTTCTGTGGATTGCTTTACAGAGGGAGGGCAAATATAGTTAGCATCTCCAGGGAAGAGTATTCCATGGGAATGATAATGGAAAAGTGATCACTCCTTTCTACTTAGCTATATCCCTATTAGGGAGAAAAATATACACACACACATACACACACCCACACACACACGAGGGAGAGAGAGCAAGATGGCCAAATAGAAGCTGCAGTGGTCATCCTGCACGCTCAACTATCTAAACAACCAACCACACAAGAAAGGACATTCATGAGAACCAAAAATCAGGTAGGCAATAACAGTACCTGGTTTTAACATCATACCAAGGAAGGGGGAACTGAAAACAGTAGAAAAGACAGTCTTTAGTTCTTCTGTCATTCCCTGGCAGTGGCCACATAATGTGGACAGAGAAGCTGTGTGTTTGTAGGAGAAAGAGCACAGTGATTGTGAGGCTTTGCATTGTAACTTAGTGCTTCCCTGTCACAGCAAAAAGCAGCATGGGGCAGAATTCGGATAGAGCCCATGGAGGGAGCATTTAGACTTGCCCTAGACAGAGGGGACTCTCCCATCCCAGTGATGGGAACCTGAGTTCCAGCTAGCCCCAACGCCATGGGCTAAAGCGATCTGGAATGCAAAATAACTTGACAGTCAGTATAGGACAGAAGGACTGCAATTGCTTGGAAAGTCCTGGTGCTGAGCTGGGCTTGGTGCCAGTGAACTTGGGGTGCATACAACCCAGTGAGACGCCAGCTGGGGCACCAGTCTCAGGCAGCACAGCTCACAGCTCAGGAGAGACTCTTTCTTTCTGCTGGAGGAGAGGAGAGGACAGATTAAGAAGAATTTTGTCTTACAACTTGGATATCAGCTCAGTTGCAGTAAAGTTGGGAACAGAGTCCTGAGGCCCCTATTCTAGGTCCTAGATCCCAGTTGATATTTCTAGACACACCCTGGGTAAGAAGGGAACATGCTGCATTGATGGGAAGGACTCAGACCTAGAAGGATTCATCACCTGCTCAATAAAGAGCTCTTGGGTCACAAATAAATATTGGTGGTATCTAGGCAGTTCTCATTGCAGGACTTGGGTGAGACCCAGGGATGTGCTGGCATCAGTTGTGACCCAGCACATTCCCAGCTGTGGTAGCAATGAGGAGAGTCTTTTGCTGGAGGTAAGGAGAGGAAAGAGTAAGGGAGACATTGAGATGCAGCTGGGACACCAGCTTGGCCATAGTGGGGGAGAGCACAAAGTTGGCTCCTGGGGTCCCCAATTCAAGGCCTTGGTTCCAGGATGACATTTCTGGACGCACCCTGGGCCAGAGGAATGTCTGCTGCCCTGAAGGCAGAGATCTAGGCCTGACAGCATTCATCACAAGCTGAATAAAGAGCCCTTGGGCCTTGAGTGAACATGGAAGGTGGCCATGCAGTAACTGCTGTGGGCCTGGAGCAATGGTAGTCATGGGGATAAAATCCTTCTGCATGAGGAAAGGAGAGAGAAGACTGGGAAGGACTTTGTCTTACTTGAGTGCCAGCTCAGAAGCAACAGAATAGAGCACCATGTCAATTCCTAAGGTTCCCGACTCTCGACACTGGCTCCTGGAAGGCATTCTAGAACCAGCCCTGGGTCAGAAGGGAGCTCACCACCCTGAAGGGTAGGACACAAGCCTGGCTGGATTCACCACGTACTGACTGAAGAGCCCTTGGGCTTTGAGTGAACATCAGCAATAGCCAGAAAGTCATCACTGTGGATTTTGGGTAAGATTCAATGCTATGCTGGCTTTGGGTCTGACCCAGCACAGTCCCAGTGATGATGGCCACAGAAGTGCTGGTGTCACCACACCCTCAGCCTCAGATGACTCAGCTCAGAAAGAGATTCTGTTTGAGGGAAAGTGTGGGAAGAAAATTAGACTCTCTACCTGGTAATCCAGGCAATTCTTCCGGATCTCACCCAAGACCACCAGAGTGGTATCTCTACACATCTGCAAGAGTCACAGCAGTACTGGGTTTGGAGTGCTCCCCAAACCATATATGGCTGCATTGACCAAAAACTTAGATCAACAACACTCGATGCTTTTTGAATACTTGGAAAACCTTCCTAAGAAAGATAGATACAAGCAAACCCAGGCCACAAAGCCTAAAACAAATAGGTAACTATTCAATGCCCTAACATTGACAAACATCCATGTGCATCAAGAACATACAGGAAAATATGTCCTTACCAAAAGAAGTAACTAAGGTACCAGTGACCAATTCCAGAGTGACAGAGATATATGAAATTTCTGACAGGGGATTCAAAAGTGCTGTTTTGAGAAAGCTTGATGAAATTCAGGATAGCACAGAAACAATTCAGAATACTGTCAGACAAATTTACAAAGAGATTTAATTAATTTTTAACAATTATGCAGACATTTTTTAAATGAAAAACTTAGTTGACATACTGCAGAATGCATCAGAGTCTCTTACTGGCAGAATTGATCAAGCAGAAGAATCAGTGAACTTATAAACAGGCTATTTGAAAATACACAGAGGAGACAAAAGGAAGAAAGAATAAAAAAGAATGAAGCATGACTACAAGATCTAGAAAATAGTCTTAACAGGGCAAATCTAGGAGTTATTGGCCTTAAAATTATTGGCCTTATTGGCCTGATGAGGTAGAGAGAGAGAGACGGGGGTAGAAAGTTTATTCAGAGGAATAGTAACAAAGAAATTTTCAAATCTAGAGAAAGTTATCAATATTCAAGTATAGGAGGGTTCCAGAGCACCAAGTATATTTAACCCAAATAAAACTACTCTAAGGTATTAAATAATCAAAGGTCATGATAAAGAAAGTAACCTAAAAGCAGCAAGAGAAAAGGAAGAAAAAACATACAAAGAAGATCTCATGTGTCTGGCAGCAGACTTTTCAATAAAAACCTTACAGGGAAGGAGAGAGTGGCATGACATATATGTGGTGCTGAGATAAATAAATTTTATCGTAGAATAATATATTCAGCAAAAATATCCTTCAGACATGAAAGAGAAATAAAGACTTTATCAGACAAATGAAAGCTAATGGATGTCATCAACACGAGATCTGTGCTATAAGAAATGCCAAAGGGAGTTTCTCAGTCTGAAATAAAATAATATTTATGAGCAATAAGAAAGTATTTGAAGGTAAAAATCACACTGGCAATAGTAAGTACACAGACAAATACAGAAAATTATAACACTGAAAATGTGGTATGTAAATTACTGATAACTTGAGTAGAAAGATTAAAAGATGAATTAATCAAAAATAATGACTACAACAACTTTTCAAGACATAGACAGTATAACAAGATAATAATAGTAACAAATAGTTCAATAAGGAGGAATTATGCTAAAGTGTAGAGTCTTTTTGTTTTTGTTTTTGTTTTTTGAGACAGTCTCACTCTGTTGCCCAGGCTGGAGTGCAATGGGGTGATCCTAGCTCACTGCAGCCTGTGCCTCCCAGGTTCAAGCAATTCTCATGCTTTTGCCTCCCAAGTAGCTGGGATTACAGGTATGTGCCACCACACTTGGCTAAGTTTTGTATTAGTAGAGACAGGGTTTCACCATATTGGCCAGGCTGGTCTTGGACTCCTGACCTCAAGCAATCTGCCCTCCTCAGCCTCCAAAAGTGCTGGAATTACTGCACCTGACCAAAGTATAGAGTTTTTATTAGTTTTTGCTCGCTTGTAATTTTATTTGTTTTTTCAATCAGCATTACTTTTTCATCAGATTTAAAAAAATGGGTTACAATATGTTATTTGCAAACCTCATGGTAACCTCAAATCAAAAAGAACTGCCACTGCCACACATAAACAAAAAATAAAAAGTGAGAAATTGAAACATACCATTGAAGAAAATCATATTCACAAAAATTTGGATGTAAAGGAAAGAAGACCACAAAAAATGGAAACAAATAACAAAATAGCAAGGTGAAGCCTTCACTTAATAATAGCATTGGATGTAAATGGACAAAATTCTCCAGTCAAAAGATATAGAGTGGCTGCCAGGAAAAAAAAAGCAAGACCCAGTATCTGTTGCCTTCAACACAGTTCACCTATAAAGACACACATAGACTGAAAATAAAGGGCTGAAAACAGATATTCCATGCAAATGAAAGAAAAAATGGAGGAGTAGCTAATTCAGACAACTTTTTAAGCCAAAAAAAAAAAACATAAAAAGAGACAAAGCAGATCATTATATTATGATAAAGAGCTCAATTCAGCAAAAGGACATAGGAATTGTAAATACATATGCAGTCAAAATCCGAGGACTCAGATACATAAAGCAAATATTATTAAAGCTAAAAGAGAGATAGCTGCAGACTTCAACACTCCATTTTTAGCAATAGGATTGACCATCCAGACAGAAAATCAACAAAAACATATCACACTTAATCAGCACTATAGAAAAAATGGACCTAATAGGTATTTGGAGAAAATGTCGTTCGACAGCAACAGAATACACATATTTCTCCTCAGCACACAGGTTATTCTCAAGGATAGACCATATGTTAGGTAACAGTTTTCAAAAAATTTTGAAATTATAACAAAGATTTTCTCTGGCCACAATGGAAATAAATTATAAATGAATAACAAGAGGAACTTTGGAAGCTAAACAAACATATGGAAATTAAACGACATGCTCCTAAAAGATTAGTGGGTCAAAAAAAGTAATTAAGAAGAAAATTTTAAAAATTCTTGAAACAAAAGAAAATTGAAACACAACATGCTAAAACCACTGGGACACTGACAGTAGGACTAAGAGGAAGGTATACAACAATAAGCACCTATGTCAAAACAGTAGAAAAACTTCAAATGCAAATCCTAATAATGCAGCTTAAAGAATTACAAAAGCAAGAGCAAACCAAACCCAAAATTAGTAGAAAAAAAGGAATAATAAATATCAGAGAAGAAATAAGTGAAATTGAATTGAAAAAATATAAAAGATCAATAAAACAAAAATTTATTTTTTTGAAAAGATAAAATCAATAAGCCTTTAACCAGAGTAAGAAAAAAGAGAGAAGAATAAAATAAAATTATAGATGGAAAAGGAGACATTACGATTGAAACTGCAGAAATTCAAAAGATCATTAGAGACTGCTATGAACAGCTCTATGCCAACCAACTAAAAAATCTAGAAAAAATGAATGAATTCCTAGGCACATATAATCTACTAAGATTGAACCATTAAGAAATCAAAAACCTGAATAGACTATTAACAAGTAATGAGATTAAAACCATAATAAAAAGTCTTCCAGCAAATAAAAGCCTGGGAACCAATGGCTTCATTGCTGAATTTTAGCAAAAGTTTAAGAACTAATACCAATCCTACTCAAACTATTACAAAAAGTAGGAAAGAAGAGATTACTTCCAAACTCATTCTATGAGGCCAGTAATACCCTGATACCAAAATTAGACAAAGAAAAATACAAAAAAGGCCAATATTCTTGCTGAAGGTATATACAAAAATCTTCAATAAAATACTAGCAAATTGAGTTGAACAATACAGTAAAAAGATAATTTATTATGACCAGGCAAAATTTATTCTAGAGATTCAAGTGTGGTTCAACATACACAAATTAATCAATGTGATATATCATATGATCAGAATGAAGGACAAAAACCATATGATAATTTAAATTGATGCTGAAAAAGCATTTGATAAAGTTCAATATTTCTTCCTGATGAAAACTCTCAAAAAAACTGGCTATAGAAGGAACATACCTCAACCAATAAAAGCCGTATTCAACAGACCCACAGCTAGTACTATACTTAATGGGGGAAAACTGAAAGCCTCTCCTGCATGATCTCAAAACTTGACAAGGATGCCCATTTTCACCACTGTTATTCCACTGTAGTAACAGTGCTGGAAGTCCTGCCTAGAGAAATCAGACAAGAGAAAAAAATAAATAGTATCCAATTTGGAAAGAAAGGAGTCAAATTATCCTTGTTTGTGGTATTATATTTAGAAAAACCTAAATACTTCAACCAAAACTATTAGAAATGATAAATTCAGTAAAGTTGAAGGATGTAACATCGGCATACAAAAACCAATAGTGTTTCTATGTGTCAATAGTGAACAATCTGAAAAAGAAATCTATAAAGTAACCCCATTAACAATAGTTACAAATAAGATAAAATACCTAGGAAAAAACTTAACCAAATAAGTGAGAGATATTTAAAATAAAAACTACAAAACATTGATGCCAGAAATTGAAGAGGACACCAAAAAAGAAAAAGATATTCCATATTTTTGAATTGGAAGAATCAATGTTGTTAAAATTTCCATGCTATGCAAAGCAATAAACAGATTCAATGCAATTCCTACCAAAATAACAATAATGCGTTTCACAGAAATAGAGAAAATAATCCTAAAATTTCTATGAAACTACCAAAGACTCAGAATAGCCAATGTTAACCTGAGCAAAATGAACAAAATTGGAAGAATCACTTTGGATGACTTCAAATTATACTATAAAGTTATAATAACCAAAACAGCATGGTACTGGCATTAAAAGAAAAGACACATAAATCAATGAATCAGAATAGAGAACCTAGATATAAATTCATACCTGTACAGTGAACTGATTTTCAAGAAAGTTGCCAAAAAAAAAAAACATACATTGGGAAAAGGACACACACATCAATAAATGGTGCTGGAAAAACTAGATATCCACATGCAGAAAAATGAAAATAGATTTCCATCTCTTGCCATATAGATCAGTTCAATCAGAATGGATTAAAAACACTTAAATCTAAGACCTCAAACTATGAAACTAGTAAAAGACAACCTTGGGGAAACTCTGTAGAACACTGGTCTGGGCAAAGAATTATTGAGAAATACCCCACAAGCATAGGCAACAAAAGCAAAAATGGACATATGAAATCACATCAAGTTAAAAATCTTCTGCACTAAAAATGGAACAACAAACAAAGTGAAGAGACAATCCACAGAATGAGAGAAAATACTTGCAAACTATCCATCTGACAAAGGATTAATAACAAGAATATATAAGAATAAACAACTCTATAGGAACAAATCTAAGAATCTGAATAAAAATGGGCAAAAGGTCTGAATAGAAATTTCTCAAAAGAAGACCTACAAATGTCCAGCAGATATATAAAAAGGTGCCCAAATCACTGATCATCAGAAAAATGCAAATTAAAACTGCAATGTGATATCTTATCACCTCAGTTAAAATGGGTTTTATCCAAAAGACAGGCAATAATAGATGCTGGCAAGGATGTGGAGAAAAGAGAATCTTTGTACACTGTTGGTGGGAATGTGAGTTAGTACAACCACTATGGAGAACATTTTAGAGGCTCTTCAAAGAATCTAAAAATAGAGCTACTATATGATCCAGTAATCTCATTGCTAGGTATATAACCAAAACAAAGAAAATCAGTATATGGAAAGGATATCTGCCCTCCCATGTTTATTGCAGCACTATTCACCATAGCCAAGATTTGAAGGCAGCCTATGTGTCCAACAACAGATGAATGGATAAAGAAAATATGCTACATATACATAATGGAGTTATTATTTGGCCATAACAAAGAATGATGACCTGTCATTTACAACAACATGGATGGAATTGGAGGTCCTTATGTTAAGTGAAATAAAAGGCACAAAAAGACAAACTGACATAAAAAGAAAAGTTCCAGATGTTCTCAATTATTTGTGGGGGCTAAATATTAAAACAATTGAACTCATGGAGATAGAGAGTAGAACGATGGTTACCAGAGGCTGGGAAGGGTAGTGGCGGGATAATTAATGGGTTCAAAAATATAGCTAGATAGAATGAGTAAGATCTAGTGTTCAATA
This sequence comes from Homo sapiens, assembly GCF_000001405.40. NCBI lineage: Eukaryota > Metazoa > Chordata > Mammalia > Primates > Hominidae > Homo > Homo sapiens. The sequence goes on from NC_000005.10 coordinate 20,484,874, forward strand.
GCACAATGGGGTGACTACAGTCAATGATATTTTATCATACATTTTGAAACAACTAAAAGAGTATATTTGGATTGTTTATAACACAAAGAAATGATATATTCTTGAGGTGATTGATAAAAAAAGTGAATACTAAACTTTTGAAATAATGATATGTTTGAATGTTGTCAATGGTAGACTGTTGCTAATGTATGATTCAGACATATGACAACAATCCACTGGAAAATAAGTGGAGCAGTTAGAAGAAAACTAGTGCTTTCACCCCTGTGTTAGCAGTATCTGGCTTGTCTCATTCTAGTCTTTATTTCAAACCACAGGGACTTTGTGACTTTAGCTGTTAATTTCTCTCTTCTGATACGCCTCTTGTCATTCTGACACTACAACTATACCAGTGTTCTAAGACTGACTAATGGCTTGAGTTATACTGTAGGCTTTCCATTGAAGATGACATGTGTGTAATGTTTATTGGTCATTCAAAGAACTAACACACTTCTAACAAAAGGGACAGGACACCATTTATCTATCCTGAATATGACAATGGGCATGGCTTAAGCCCCAATATGGACAAGAACATATACTTGTGGAAGGATGATAAAAACTAAATATGTTAATTGTGTGTATACAGTTTTTGTGCATTATAAATATAAGTGCTCATATGTGTATATGGCTGTGCAGAAAAGATAAAGTTCATCTAATAAATTTCCTCTATTTCAAATTAATTTAGCCTTTTAATTTTTTCATATAATGTCTCAATTCTTCCATCAAAATCTATCTTCAGAAACAATCTGAGGTAAGTAATACTGAATTTAGTAAGATTTTCAGGCTCATGGGTGAAAAAAAGTGTTTTGCTTCCTCTATAAGTGCATCTTTATGCTTTCAGCGAGTAACCTGAGGGTACATTTTGGCAACAAAAATGGGATATCTTGTAGGAAAAACATGTCATAGTTAACATAACAAATGAAGTAGCAATTTCATAGCACATATATGATGTATATGAGCATAATATTTAAACCAGGCTATTTTGAAGTTGGGTATATTGTAAACAAATATAGAAGAGTATTAAGCAAAAGAAGTGATGGAATAGGCTCCATGGGGTCATGTGGGCTTCCTTTTGCAACTGAAACTAACAGATAAAGAAGGGGCTTGTTATTTGGCTGGATGATCCCGATTATGAAGGGTTAAAAGAGTTGCTGTACCAGCGTGGATATAGAGAAGAACTTTTCTGCAATCCATAGGATGTGCTGGTGCCTTCTTAAAACCCCAGTTCTAATTGTAAATGTGAATGGAAGACTAGATAAGCCCTAAGTATATTAGACTAGCAAGGACTTCAAAATTGAAGTTTTGAGTCATTTCATTAAGTCGAAAATATTGAAAAGAGTAAGCGATATCTAAGAGCAAAAGGAACATGGTATATTGCAATATGTAAAGATCAACTCTGGTCTTACAAATAATGACTGAAACAAAGCCTATAGAGATTGCATGTTTCACTCAATATATGCAACAATAAATATAATACATATTATGTATATGCTAGCATTTATATTATATACATTTTACTCTATCTTGTTTCTCTTATTTCATAGGCATGTGTAGGTGATGATCATCTTTATGATTTAGAGCTCAAATTTCTGATTATTAAAGTTTTATTGTGACCAAACCAAAATAAGATTAGCTGTAACCCAGACCTGGGAGCTGAACTGATGAATTTTGGATCCCTTTTTTTTGATGAGTCATAAGCATGTTTTTATTAACATGAGGAAGACTTCATTACATTCAACAGGAGCAAGTTGTTTTACCTGTTGCTATTTTTGTATATATATATATATATACATATATGTGTGTGTGTGTATGTGTGTGTGTGTTGTGTGTACTCCATTGAAATTAAATAGTAAAGAGATGAATGGTACTGTATGTTATCTACTAAAATTTGTCAAAATTTTCTATTTCTTTTATGTTAACTTTTGTAGCTAAGGGGCTGGAAAACTATTGCCTAAGTTCTATACTCAGATTTAAACCAGATATGGTTTTTGTTGCTGGGATGTCTCAACATGAAAACTGCAGTGGCGACAGGGAGGCAGAAGATGCTGCCTTCCGGCAGTGGTTGTGGCCTAGGGATAGGTTACAGCTGACAGGAGCATCTGCAGAGCCAGGACTCATGTTCCCCTGACTGCGTTACAGTTGTGAGTGTATGACAGCTGTGGCAGCAGCAGCACTGGCTGCAAAGCCTGCAGTGTTTTCTGGATCTCTAGTTCAACACTGTGGTTGCAGGTTCTTGAAACAAAGTTTCCCATGGTACTGGCTCTAGGTCCTCACCTCTAACCCTTCCAGTGACGTTAAGGGATCTAATTTTCTGTTAATCCATTCTTAACATAAATGAAAATCCCAGCATTTTCTGTTTCCTATGCTGAATCCCCACTCATCTAAAAATGTTTTATCCATATATATATGGAGATACATATATATAAACCTATATATGTATAAACCTATATATATATATAAACCTATATATGTATAAACCTATATATATATAGGTTTCAGGATTTACTTTTAATCAGAGAAAAATATAATCGGGCTACATCAATATATTTACTGTATAGGTGATGAGAAATTTAATTATTTTGGAAAATAAATACAAAATATATGTATATACATATATCTATCTATTTCAGGTACAACTTATTATATGTTCATAAAATATCAAATTTCCACATTTGGGGGTTTGCTATATCTTAAATATCACTATACAGCCAAAGTATATAAATTCCTTATTTTATTTCAAAATCTGGAAATGGGAAGTGCATATCCTAAGGATAATTTGAAAACATTTTCATTATTAACTGCCACAAATTTGTTAGGTAATTATGAACATGAAACAATAAATAGCATGCATATATATATATATGCTATATATACTATTTAATAGTATTATTAAATAGTACACAGTATTTTAAATCACATCTCCATGACAATATTCCAGATTTTAATATCACGAAGATAAATTAGCCATGTTTAATTTTCTTAGATTTCCTCAACCACAATTCGAGATCCTAATGTAAAACCTGAACATGAGACACTGTGGAAGTCTCCTCCAGCTGTTCAGTGAATTTGGAGTTGCTTTTAGCGATGGCCCATCTCTCAGTGGCTGATTGGCTGTCCTGCCTGTCATTTCCATGGATGCCATTTCTTTCTTGCAGTTCTGAAAATGTCATATATTTTGCTCCTGGGAAGATTCTTTTTATCCTTTTCAAATTTCAACAATTTAGTGCAATTTCAAAAGAAATATCCTCATGTTATAAAATATATAATTGGAAATCTAAAGGTTTGATCATAATTAAAAATATTTTAAATACATATGCATCACTTGTAATTTTGCAGCCTGTAATTGTATTTCACCTAGGTCCATACATACACATATGCAAAAGTACAATCAAGTTAAAAATGCTTTAAAAAGAAACAGTTGAAGGATTTTCACGTACCCTTTTAAGACATTTCTTCTGACAAGGTGAGTCAGTCTTTCACTGAGCTCAGTGTGGTGTGTCATGCAGGGGATGTGGATTCCTTGAATCTTCATAAAGGGAGCTTTCAGAATTTAGGACAAAGGATAGTATAAAAAGCACATAAGGTAAAATTTGATGTTGTTTCCATCCATTAAAATGATCTCTTCCCAAAACTACTTAAAACAAACAATGTCTATGTTGGATTTAAAACTTACATAAATATGTCATTGCTTTGTAGTGGTCGTTGCCTTGGTAACGATAATGTAGGAAATTCATATGCTCTTTTTGGTTGGAGGGGTAGTGTTTTATATATATATATATATATATATATATACACACACATACAATTGTTTATCAATAAAATTCCTTGAAGGAGGAATAATAAAACTAGCAGTTCTTAATTTCTAAATGAAAAGCCACATTTATGTAAACCTAAGACCTTAGAGATAGAAAATATTTGTTGTCATAGAAAATATTTATTAAGTGCCAACTATATGCCAAAATAATGCAACAAAGAACCTGCGGTTTTAATTTTCATATATTAATTGTGGTGACAAACTGCTTTTCATACATGTATATCTCAACATTACCTCTTTAGTGGGGAGAATACAGTTACCGAATACAGACTCCATATTCCTCAGATGTAGTTAAGATGGAAGCAGCTTCCACTTTACCTGCTCATTTAATCAACATAACCCTCAAAAATCTATTTTCATATCTCTATTACATACATCCAGGAAACTTGCTGAGACCTCTATGCTTCTATATGTATCATTCACTATACCAGCTATTTTTAAATTTTGATTTTGTAAACACAAGCTGTTCTCCTTGAGATTTAGATATGACAAAGAAAACAGATCTCTCCACTCCCCTCTCACAATTTTAAGCTAATGTTTAGAGCATATCCACTCTGGATGGCAAACAAATGATACCAGACAATAATACTACATGTATTTTTAAGCTGATAAAAGATTATACATGTGGGTAAATTGGTCCCAATCATAAGGCTAGCAATGATTATTGAATATTTTGATAATGAACTATGTAACTTCCAAACACTAGCAAATAATGATTATTGTTTAAAACTTTTAGATGGATAATTATATCCTTCATACTTTTTTCTTTGTAAAAAATGATCTTGTGAAAAAGTTCCAAGTGGAGTTGCTAAAATTATGTGACCTGTTTATTAAATAACTGATTTATGTAATTCACAGTAAGTTTGTAATATATTTAAATATTCATCCTATTACAGTTCAAGATAAAAAAGTTTTTTTCCAGATTCTTCTGTTTCTTACATTTTTACTTCCAATTATGCCTTAGGTTAAAGAAAATCATAATCTTTTTCAAAATTAATTGACGTCCTGCAGCTCTGGGTTGAAATTTCATGGCAATTGTTTTCAAACATTGAAGTTCTGTAGCTGACAAAATGAAATATAAAATAACCATGGTTACTGTAGGGAATAACAATGTTTACTTTTATTCAAGCTTTTTTTAATGCTTATATGGTTCAGGTTTTTATTTTAATATTCATGTTCTTATCTAATAGATTCAACTTTACTAAAATGTCTAAAGAAAACACTAGATTTTTATTTACATATACAAACTAGAAAGATTTTTCCATATGCTCCATCTTATCTGATAGGGTTTTAAATAATAAATATAATAAATCATTAATTGAATATTCTATAGATAAAATTGCTATAATAATATAATTGTTAATATTATTAATAATACTAATTAATAAATAATCATTGCTACTCGCTAAAGAATGATAGACCAATGGCATTTTGATAAATAATAGCTTGTACTCCCACCATGCATTCGGGCCCTGGGGCCATTTTTATGATCAAAAGGCTTTACAGATTTATGGCAAACATTATAGTGTGTCATTTTTAGAGACTGTAAAATGTTCATAGAACTTAGTGGCAGTGAATTTTATCCTTTCCTTTTTTCTAATATCAATAGCCAATGAGACTATACAACTTTCTAGATAATAGAATGAGACAATGCTGGGGTTTAGTTCTCCTGACTCTAATTACATGCCTACCTCCCTTATTAATTATCTTTAATATAAAAAGTTGGGAAACTTCATACTAAACAATCAAAGTTCTATTAGAAGGCTTCATTAGGTGAGTGATCAAATTATGAAGATAAAGAGGAAATGTAAATATGATAATAAAAATACCTTACACTCTGACTAGACAGAAAAAGACTATTATAGATAAGTTGAAAATAAACCCACATTTGTTCAAGAGGAGGGTAAGTAAGTACATAGATAGAGGCTGCAATTCACTTAGTGATGAACAGCCTGGAGTTTGAGGTCAAGTTCTGAATACGCAGTTCAGTGGCCACTTGGATTTGGGCAAATTATTTTATTCTTTATGATGCAATTTTCCATATCTCTAAAATCATTCAACCATTCTAACCTCCTAAGGTTCATGTAAATAAATGAGAACATGAAAAAGATACAGCTTAATACCTTGTACATATTGAAAACTCAAATTTTAGCTCTTCTCATAATTACCTTCCCACTAAAAATAATTTGAGGAATACAAAACATTAAATGATGGGGGTATCCTTAACATTTTAAGTCCATTTAATGGAAAGTAAGTAGATCCTTTCAAAAATTGTATAAGCACTTCAAAGTGACATTTATTTTCATGGAACAATTATAAGTTTAAATACATATGCAATTTTAATTTAAACTAAAAGCATACATTATATTTTTAGTTTTTAAATATTTTTACAAATTAGCATCCTACAAAGAATTAACATTCTAAAATATGTCTAAATTTTTCTCCCTATGATGTTTAGGTATAGTATTTGGTTTATTATTATTATTATTATTATTATTAAAAAGAATTTAGAAACTTGAGTATAGTCTAAAATGTTCACCATTCTCCATGTATTAAATTCCTGAGTTAAGCTACCAATTGATATTTCCACAAGAAAACCAGGTAATGATCGTAAGTTTAGTAATTCTTAACTGTAAAACAGGAAATTTTTAAAGAGGGGAAATATATAAGTCTGGGTCCTCCAACAGGTTCTCTAGAACCAATAGGATGTATTTGCATGGGAATGTGATTTATATAAAGGAATTAGCTCATGTGATTATAAAGGATGGCCAGTCCAAAATCTGCCAGATGAGCTGGCAGGTGGAGACCAAGGAAAGAGCCAAAGTTATTGTCTAGGTCTGAAGGTTGTCTGGCTGGAGACTCAGGAAGCAACCAGTGTTGTAGGACAAGTCCAAAGAGCATCAGCGGCAGAATTTCCGCTTGCTCAAGGAGATCAGGATTTTGTAGTATTCAGGCCCTCAACTGATTGGATGAGGCCCACCTACAATTATAGAGGCCAATCTGCTTTCCTCAAGGTCTGCTGATATAAATGTAAATATCATCCAAAAACACTTTCGCAAAAACATTCAGAATTATGTTTGACCAAATATCTGGACACTACTGCCTAGCCACAATGACACATAAATTTAACCATCACAGGGAACCTTCTCTGTAACAATTAAATTATGGGCCTTTTCTTAAACATTGGAATTCAGTTTTCATAATGTTTACTATTCTACCTATTTTTTCTAATTTAATTTTTACTTTTAATAATATGTTTTATTTTATTCAATATAATACAGGATTTGTGTATTATTTTCATCTTACTTACAGATTGTATTTCTTTCTGCTGCCTAGAAAAATTCAGTAGGTTTACTTAATAATTTTGATAAACAAATTATTTACGTATTCTGAGGGCCATACTGTACCTCCCTTTTGGGGTATAATCTCATCAGTCATGTTAAGTAGTAACATTGATTTTTTTTTTGCCAGAATAAAACTGTAATAAAATATAGGGGCATTTGCTACACTATAATATACTTTCCAAAAACCCCTTATAAGTGATTATTTGGTTATAAATTTCTTTGGTTTTCAGCATCACCTGACTTTCTTTAGGAAAAAAAATGAAAATTGGCTGAATATAGACAAGGTTAGAATACTAAATTTGCAGTTATTTCTTTCATTTAACAATTATAATTTAAAATAACATATTTTTCAACCAAAGCATTTTATATTTTTTGAACTTTCCCTAGTAAAGTTGTGGAAATGTTAAAAGGAATACTAAAATCAAGAGTGCACATGAAAATACAGTTCTTCATTTCAAATGTTATACATATGAAATATCGTTGGTAAAGTTCATTTTTAGATTTATGTGGAAGTAACTTTGTCTTTCAACTTGACAGGAAAGGTTGTTCTTGGCAAAGCTCTGTGTAAATAAGTAAATGGTATAATAAGAAAAAGAAAGTTTGAGACATATTTAAGATATTTCATGTACTTATAATTACACAATTGACACATACTCATATTAGAATACTGTATATAAAAGAATGCTAAATTGTGTTTTAAAATACATTATATATTTTTGCCCCCAGATTTCTTTCAGATGTTTTGCAGAGATATTTTGATAACACACACATGCCTTGATGAATCGCTGCACTCATTGCTTAGCATAATATATTTATTTAGAAGACTAAACCTGGAAAAGAATAGATATTTAATGACAGTCCCTAAGAAGATAAGCCAACATCTGATCAAGAAAACTTGAAACAGACTCTAGTAGATGATAAAGAGTTAAAAACAGGATTATTTGTGTCATGCACTATGGAAATACTTCAATGTCAAAAAACTTTATGAAATATGTTTTTGGCCCGGGGTTGTGGCTCATGCCTGTAATCCCAGCACTCTAGGAGGCCTAGGCGGACAGATCACCTGAGGTTAGGAGTTTGTGACCAGCCTGGCCAACATGGTGATGTCCCTTCTCTACTAAAAATACAAAAAACTAGCCAGCATGGTGACACTTGCCTGTAGTTCCAGCTACTCAGGAGGCTGAGGCAGGAGAATTGCTTGAGCCTGGGAGGCGGAGGTTGCAGTGAGCCGAGATCATGCAACTGCACTCCAGCCTGGGTGACAGGGCAAGACTCTGTTTCAGAAAATTAAAAAAAAAAAAAAAAAAAAAAAAAAAAAGCAAAGAATTTTTTGTTTTATTTTTTATTGTTTCTGTTGTCTATTTGTGGAAATAAACAAAGGCCACTCAAATGAGAACAAGCACAGGCTATTTATTCAGAGCTTGCTATAGGAAGGGAGTCAGCTACCATCATTTGCATAAGGCAGACCCCAAGGCAGGTGGGGTGCTGGAGAGCTTTAGAGTGACAACAGGGAAAACTTCAAATATGCTCTGAATCAAAGGTGGCAAGGGAATTCTGGGGGCAGCTAACAGAACTGGGCATCTTATATAATTCATTTGGGAGCATGTTTTTTCCTCTTTTGTTGGTCCTGTGTGAAAGCATGGGAAGAAATGGGGATCAGGCAGTCATTGATCAAGTCCTCATTGTTTTGGGTAAATTGCCTTAGAGTTGATGGTTTGGTTTGCCAGGATGGGTGGATGCAAAGTGTGTGGACTCCTTGCTCAGAAGTTATAGGTCAAGCTTCTGGTGTTACATCGGGTCTGACTATTGTCCATTTCCATACTCAGTCTCCCACATGAGAAAAACCCTCTGTTAAGAAAACAAAAACAAAAACAAAAACAGCAAAAAAAAAACCAGCCTTGTGCAGTGGCTCACGCCTGTAATCCCAGCACTTTGGGAGATCAAGGTGGGTGGATTAGTTTTACTTGAGTTCAGGAGTTTAAGACCAGCCTGGCCAACATGGTTAACCCCCATCTATACTAAAAACAAACAAGCAAACAAATAAAAACAAACAAACAGACTGGAAACTAGTTATGCTACTATTTTACTCAAACAACGTAGTTTTCTTAGAGATAGACAAATACTCTAAATAGTTCCCAAATTGAAGAGAGTGGAATAGACTCCAAAATGAAAATAAAAAAATCATAATATAAAATTTTAAATACTGCAAACTGAGTGTAGATATTAGAAGTACAAAGGAAGAGGATAAAGGCAGAGAGGGATAAGAGAAGAAGCAGTAATGTCTGCAGGGAGTGTTCAAAGTCCTAATAAAATGTAAACTTCAAGAGGGAGGTTGTGAGAAAGTAGATAAAAAATGTGGGAAGAGGACCTTACATGACTGTACAGGAATTTTCGTTTCAAGATGACAATATACATATTTTTTCTTATTTTTCTATCTCAAAACTGTCTGAAAAAGTATAAGCACATTGAAAAAAAGAAAATAACTGTTTTCTCATGAAAAAAGAAATTGGCCATAATTTCCAACCACACTTTTGAAGAATGCCTTCAAAAGAAGAACATTTTGAAGAAATGTTAACAAGTCAGTACCCAACCTGGGGAGAAAATCTAAGCTCCTAGTTCTGTCTAGGATAAACCAGATAACCCAGAGTCTCATTTCTTGATGGGCTTTCTATGGCCACCTTCTTTAGAGCAATGCAGCCTCGAAACATGAGTAGGTCTGGAGGAGTGGGGATATCCCTACAGAAAAAGTCGGTTATTACCAAGAAGTAGCGGAGGAAAGGAGCAGAAGGGAAAACATGCTGACATGCTATTTTAATTGTCCACAGCCCTGGGTCTTGGCCAAAGGAGCATTCGGGGATAGAATGAGGGAAGCAGAGAGAGACAGTGAATCCCAGCAACTTCTTAGGTTTAAGGTCTCTGTTAGGTGCAACTCCACAGTTGAATGACGAAAAATAAGAGGAAATGTGAAAGTACAAGGCTGTAAATTGTACAGGCAAAAACACCTGAATATAACATTGTACCTTTCTCATTTCTCTATAATTTTATGTAACTTGGCCTTGGAGTTTATCATTTTTTTCTCTACCGTATGAATATTTGGCCATTCAAAACCTCTGACAGCTCATTCTCTTCCAATCTGAAAGTCTCTTTGGTTACATCCTCAGTCAAGATCAGGTTTCTCTTTGTTTCTCTTCTCTCTTATACTTAGATTATTTGAAATTCAAAGTTTTACTGTATAAATGTTAAGGCCCTTTTAATGTGTTCACAAATCAACCGAGACAACAAATGTCAATAACCTAAAGGAGAACGGCATTGGCAAAAACAACAAAAAAGAATGCTTAAAGCAGTGCCCAGGTTAGGATTATTCTAAAGCCTGCTTCAGAAATAAAATGATAATGCTATAGTAATGACAGCCTATTCAGCAACAAACCACAACTGAAGTTGAAGACTCCAACTGTTCTTTTATTTTTCTCTATTTCCATCTCTAATTTGAAAGTGCTCCTCCCAAAGAACAATCAGATCATGGCATCTACCTACAGAAACAGGAAGCGGAAATGTCACAGGAAAAACATACAACCAGGAAACAAGAAAGAGTTTATACTAATAGTTGACCATAGTGATCACAAAGATACTGTTGGCATAATCTCTGTTTAATAAAAGAGATCTCAAAAAAAGACAAAAGTGACAAAAGAGAGACTATGAGACAGATTAGATTTAAATATCGAGTTCTAGAACTCAGAAAATAAAGTCAAAAGATAGCAATGGGAAAATACAATGTAGAAATAAGGCACAGTAGAAACAACAGCCACACCATAGTTATTAATGCATCTGAAAAGTTCAGGAAGAATGGAATACAACTTGACTAAGTCACAAAATAAAAGTTTGTGAATTGGACAGGACAAGAGACAAAATCAGTTATAAAGAGATGATAAATATAAGAAACAAAAGAGATCCAAGTGTGGATAAATAATATTATTGAGTTGAGAAGAGAAAGAAATGGAACAGGAAACAGATAAATAAGTAATTAAGACTGTGATGAAATAGATAGGCATCTGAAGATTGAAAAACACACCATATACTGAGAAAGTAATTTAGGTCAACACAGGACTTATCTTTGTGATATTAGTGAATTTAAAATAAAGGAGATTGCAAACCCCCTGGGTAAAATAAACAAGTTACTAGGAAAGGGGAAACAATTTATCTTTAGGTTTCTACAGCTCAATACTGTGATGTTCATGTTTTCGTTTAAAGGGTGTGACCCCAAAATTTTAAACCTAATCATATTGTCTTTTAAACACAAAAGTGAAAGGATAAAATATTCATGATTTTTAGGATAAAAATTAGTGGATTAATGTCTGCCAATCCAAAAATAAAGGAAAATTAATAACACTGTAATCCAGAATATTTAATATTTTACACATAGAATTGAATATACCATTATTTAAAATATACAATTGATAAAAAATTATGGTGATTATTTAATATTCATTTTTTTGAGATGGAGTCTCGCTCTGTCGCCAATATACTAATGAGGAAACAATGTGGGAATTATCGTTTCAGAGCAAAATTTTATAGTAATTGAGAGATAAATTGTAAATGTGCTCTTCACGCTTTTACTTGTATGGCATGGAAAATATTATAAGCATGCTCCTCCATTCATTTATTTCATAAAGGATAATTAGTAGTTGCTATGCTCAAGACACAGTTCTCCATGCAATCAAACACCTATCTCTAACCTTACGTAGCTTTCAGTCTATTGCCTGTGGAGGCAGAGGGGGATAAAGGCATTAAACATAAAAAATAAGTAAATTTTATGAGATGTTAGAAGTTGACAAATTTTACAAAAATAAAAATAAAAAAATAAAAGAGAAAAGGCATGAAGGAGCTGTGGGTGCTAGTGGAGGGTGGGGCAAAATTGTTCAGTGTGGCCCCACAGAGAAGGTGATGTTTGAACAAAGATTTGAAGGAGAAGGTAGAAAGGAAACCATTTAGAAATTTGAAGGAAAAGCAAATGTCAAAAGGAATAGCCAAGCAAAAGCAGTGCTCATGTTTGAATTAATGTCATAAAGGCCAATGAAGCTGGGGTGGAGGCAGCAAAGAGGGAAATAGTAAGTGAGGGCTCAGGGAGTAATCGTGAACCAGGTTGTTTTGAGCCTTATAGGCTCTTGAAAGAGCTTTGAATTTCTCTTATAGTTCTTGTCAAAGAATTAACTAATACAGAACAAATTTAAAATATATCACAGGCTAATTAACAATGATTCAGTCAACAACTAACAATGTGTGTGATTGTGGTCCCATAAGATTATAATACCATATTGTTATTGCCTTTTACTATATTTAGATACGCTTAGATACACAATTTCTTACCATTGTGTTACAATTGTTTACAGTATTCAGTACAGCAGAATGCTGTATAAGTTTGTAGCCTAAGAGCAATAGGCTGTACTATATACTGTAGGCTTGTGGTAGGCTATAATATCTAGGTTTGTGTAAGTACACGCTGTGATGTTTGCACAAGCATGAGCTCATCCAAGGACAAATTTCTTAGAACATATCTTTGTTGTTAAACAATGCATGACTGTAGTGGTGGAAAACTAGGTCATGATTTTTCACCCATGCTTACCCATGAAAGTAGATATTTTAAGAAATAATGCATGAAAAATAAAAGAGACCCTCATGAGAAAATATCTTGTCTGTCAAAAAGAGAGTTCGTTTATTAAATATAAAAAAAGCATTTGCTATACTATGCTGTTAGTATTTGTGTCCCCTACAAAAGTCACAGGTTGAAACCTAATCACCAGTCTGATGCTATTCGGAGGTGAGGACTTCGTGAGGTAATTAGATCATGAGGATGGAGTCCCCATGAATGAGATTAGTGTCCTTATAAAAGAAGTCCCAGAGAGCTGTCTTGCCCTTTCCCCCTGTGACAACACAGATAGAAGGTATTATCTATGAGCCATAAAGTGGGTCCTCACTAGAGATCAAATCTGCCAGTAACCAGATCTTGGACTTTCCATCCTCCAGAAATGTGAAAAATATTTTTTGGTTGTTTATAAGCCATTCATTCAACCCAGGTGAACCAAGACAATCCTTATTTAGTGCTATACTTTGCGGATTAGTAACTACTAACTTTATAGTCATGTGACTTGATGATATCAAGTCCATACATAATTTTTGTACCAGCAGTAGTAATTCTCTCTTCCTCTTGCATATGCACATTTCAAAATGTGTTTCTGAATCTAAGCTCCCTCTTTTCCAGATGTAACACAATCAGCTGCATGTAATGATAATTTCCTCTCCAAAGACTACTCCCTCTCACATCCATTGCTATTCATCTCCTCCACTTCTTCATATTCTTGGGAATCATTGGAGATTGCTTGATCATAATTTCTGATGTGTATAGAGAGATACTTATTTTAAAAACATTAAGATTTTATCTTCAATAAAAAGATGACTTAAAAAAGTGAGAGTTATATTAACTCCATGATTAACCTATGAGTGTTTAACTCACAGTGATTATGATTTTTCATTAATTGTATCACTATATAAATATAATGTTAAAATAATCCTTTAGTTGATAACATATTTCACTTTAATTTCTCATGATTTAAATTTTAAAACTGTTCTTATTCTATGTTGTTCTTATTGTTTCCACAGGTTATTACAAAAATATCAAACAGATAATTAAAGTGAGCTTGTAATAATACGTGTCTTATTTAAATATTTAATTTTGTTAATATTACAAATGCTACAATAAGAAAAAAATTAAATGGTCACTAAACATAGATTTAAATTAAATTCTACATTTCATATTTCTATGCTTAAAATGGTTGTAACTTAACAGAATGAGTGAATATTTTTAAATATCTGGTTATAGAAGCTTTTGTATTGAGCTTGTGTTTCCTGGTTTAATTTGCATACTCTGGGTTACTGGTTTAGAAACGCAGCTCACAATTTGTTCATAATCCTCCTCTTTCCTGCTTCAAGCAATTACAGCTCCTCAAAGATAAGTGAGCTGTGAACAAACTAAACTATATATACATATACACTCTCACACACATACACACACACACACAGTCTTCTCTTGGTATCTATAAGGGATTGGTTCCAGGATCCCCATGGATACGAAAATCCACAGATGCTCAAGTCCATGATATAAAATGGCATGGTATTCGCATACAAGCTAAGCACATCTTCCTATATATTTTAAATCATCTCTCTATTACTTAGAATACAAACTACAATGTAAATGCTATGGAAATATTTAATGATTGTTATACTGTTTTGTGTTTTATATGTATTATTTTTATTTTTGTATTGTTATTGTTATTTTTTATTCTTTTCTAAATATTTTCACTTCAAGGTTGATTGAATCTGCAGATCCATAACCCACAGATACAGAGGGCTGACTGCGTAAAAACTGGGGGCTATAAAGTCTTTGCCTCACAATTCCAACTAATCCAAAATTATTGTTTTAACATCTCCTCAATCCCAACCTGTCCCCAGACCTTTAAACTCTAAAAATATTGTGCCTTAATTTGTCATTTTGAACTAATGCTCAGAGTCAGTGAAGGTGTTGTTCTTAATTGCAGTAAATTTAATAAACTTAGCTTTGCCTTATCAACAGGTTTTCTAGTGGGTTTCCAGACATCAACAGTCAACAAATGCAAAGGCAGTTTGTTACATGAATGGGTAAATAGTTATCTTATGCATATAGCAAATCAATAAATGTTCACGTGTGGATGATAAATCTGACAGGACAAATAATTTAAATTTGCTGTATACTGACAAATTGCCATTCCAAGTATATAAATTTATATTTATGTGAACTGTGCTTATCCCAGTAATACTTGAGCATGCCTGTTTCCCCTCACCTTCACCAAAAGTTATCTTGTAAATTTTTTCAGCTATGTCACTTCTGTGATGCCATGCAGGTTTTTAAATTGTCACAGACCATTGTAGATATATAGATAGAAATATCTAGTTTCTAGGCTTATACCGGCCTTAAACTCATGTCACTGTCCACTTTTTGTTTTAAAAATTGTAAAAAATAATTACTGTGACTTTCTCTTATGCCAAAAATAAACATTTTAATATCAAATGCTGGAAAATGCCTTCTTTTCTACAGTTCTATAGGCACTCAAACAATTAAATTGCTGGTGCTATTTTCTGGAGAAGTACATTTAAATAACTTCTTCTTAGAAACTGTGGTGGCATCCATTATGTAGATTATAATATGAATTTTAGGAAAATAGAAATTGGCTTTTGATGCTCATCTGAAACTGATTGACTTGCACATCCTTCTAACAAATGCTGGGTTTCAAGGAAACAAATTCTAATATTTAATATACCAAATATCCCTGGACTATAACACTAATTATAGGAGTGAATTGGCCAGGGGCACCTGGGGAATTGAACAACTCATCTCGCCTCTAAATTATTGTGAACATCTGGGAACAGGTATAATGGCCTTCATCTGGTATTGGGAGTAAACTGGTGATTCGTTATCAAAAGAACTGTGAGGCTTAGATCTGCTTCGGACATGCACTGCTCCTTTAGTAAGTATGCTGTAAATGGATTTAAAGCATCATTAGGTAAATATCTTAGCACAGTTAGGAAAACTGACTGTACTGAAACAATGTACTCAAATGCAGTTGTAATGATGTGCAAATGTGTCCAAATATTTGTTTAAATAAGGCTATAAGATGAAGTGTTGACATATAATTCCAAGGACATCCATATAGTAAGTGCCTAAAACATAAGCCCAAGTTACTGTTACAGTGTTTGATTGTATAACATTGAACATTAATGTTGACATTACAAAGTAATACTTGATATTTAATCAGTTAGGTCTAGACTAAGTAGTTTATAATTTTGTTTCTAAGAAGAATGATGCTATAGTTCAAATTTAGTATCATAGAACTCAACTGACCTTGGACTAGCAACTCAACAATAAGGACACAAATATTCTAAAGACTTTGGAAAATTTTAGTCACTCTGTCTTAAATGTGAGCATGACATCACACAGCAAATAAAATGTCAATTCTGTCAACAACTAGCTGAGTGACTTTACTTCCCTTATATGAGGTTGTTTAAATACTTTAAGGAATTAAACATGATTTTCAAGATCTTCCCTAGCTTTAGCAACATGTAAAATTATTAAATGTAAATAACTGTGGAATTACTAAAAGCAAATATCCATGTGTAGTCACATTACTTGCCACATAAATGGAACGTTATTACACTAACAAATAGATACTGTTCTACAGCTTTTCTATACAGCTAAATAATCAACTATTTCTATAATTTATACTTCACTGTTACCAAATCCTAAAATATATATATTTTTATATACATATTATATATATATTTTATATACATATATTTTATATACATATTATATATATTATATACATATTATATATATTTTATATACATATTTTATATATATTATATACATATTATATATATTATATACATATTATATATATAATATATATATATAATATATATATATTATATATATATATTATATATATATATATATATATGGAGATGGAGTCTCGCTCTGTGGCCCAGGCAGGAGTGCAGTGGTGCAATCTCAGCTCACTGCAAGCTCTGCCTCCTGGCCAAACCCTAAAATCTTAAGGATTTGTGTGTGTGTGTGTGTGTGTGTGTGTGTGTGTGTGTGTATACCTTTACAGATTGAATAAGTATAGCCCAAGTGTACTTGTGCCTATTTACAAAATATTAAAGAACACTGAAGTTCTTTCTTGAAGAAGAACTCAGTCCATCAGGAGATTGAAGTTTCCTTAAAAAATACTTCCTTACACACACACACACACACACACACATTTTATTATTTCAAGAAAACAGCAAAAGAAATTGAGTTAGATTCTAAAGTTAAATGACAGATATGAATTTGCTATTAGAAGGTCATATAAACTTGTCAGAGAAAGAAGTAAACAGTGTGTATCTTTTAGGACGAGCTGCTCTGACACCATTGTTCAGAAATGTTCCTGTCAGCCTATTCCAAATATTACTAAATCTAGCTTTAGATTAGATTGCTTATCTTGCAGAAGACAGTATTTTTAAAGAATGAAGGTGTGCTTTCTATTTCACATAATTCTTTTTGAACTATTCCAAGGATGACTAGTTATGTTGTTCAATGGATTACTTGTTTCTAAATCAATAAGATTGATGCTATAGATAAATATGCATGACACACTCGACCTGTGAAAATATGAGTAAGAGAAAATATAACACACTACCAGAGGTCAAGGTATATCAGCAGCAACCAAAAACTGCCTCAAGGATTTTCTTCTTATTCAACCATTAGTTCATGTCTTAATGAAACCCAGTGCTCTCAAGGATGATAAAGATGGAGTCACTGTCCCTAGTTCTTCAATTATTCAGTTCTAATGGGTAGGTTAATGAAGTGTGGCAAGTAATATTTATCTGAGAAGACTTGCTATAAACACTTGCTTGTAATAGATGCTGTTTTTATTTTTAAAAAGTGTAGATTAACCCTGTTCTGTAAATACATATTCATTCAAGCATTGGTAGAAAAAATAATTATGTTTTTGAATTTAAGAGATAAATATGATCATGACATTGATCTTAAAACAAACAAGGTGTATAATAAGAAATCCTTAGAACAATTCTTCTGGGAAATGGCTAAAGCAGATCTATGGGACAGGCTTGACAAACTACCAAAGAAAAGGAAGAACCAGTCAGGGTTACTACATTTATAAAGGAGAATTGGCCACTTTGATGGGTTGACATTTTGCCATGACAAGTTCAGAACCTTAAGTGATCTTAGAAATGTCAGAAAGGAGCTTAATAGGCACCTCAATGAAAACATTAACTATACAATTAAACTTAATATGAATAAATTCTGCTTTTATGAGAAAAAGGTCAATGCTAGCCTGAACTTAGAAAAAAAGGGGGTTATTCTTACACAGACAGAGAAAGCCAATTAGGGAACTCCAGTTAATGTAGTGCTGCAAATAGACAGGTTTTTTAAATCAGATTTTTCAACTATTAGTTTCACATTAATTCAAATTTGAGTGATGGGGATGTATAGTTTCATAATATCTATAATCTTTTAGACAAACACAAATTTAAAAAAAAAACTGTAGGATTCTAAACATGTAATAACTTAGCTTTTTATTTCTTTTTTTTTTTACATTTTCCCAGCAATGACACAGTGACTTTTTTTTAATTGATATTATATAAGCGAAAACTAAACCCACTAATTGAGGCTCTTATATAATTATGACATAGTTGGATAAGTTAAAGTGAAATATTTTATCAACTATTGTGTTAATATATTTACAGATCAATAAAATTAATGAAAAATCATAGAATTAATCCCTATGAGTTATCAGTCACAGAGTTAATCATTGAGTTGATATCATTCTCATTTTTCCAGAGTCATATTCTTATCAAAGATAAAACTTTTTAAACATAAGTATCTCTACTCATATATCAGAAATTATGGTCAGCAATCTCCAGAGGTTCCCAAGAGTGGGGCAATAGAAGGAGATGAATAGCAATAGATTTGAGAGGCAATAGCCTTCTGAGAGGACGTTATCATTATATGCAGCCAATTACCTTTCATATGGAAAAGAGTTGCTTAGATGCAGGAAAACACATTTTGACATGTGCATAGGCAAGAGAAAGAGTTATGGCCAGGTGCGGTGGCTCACGCCTGTAATGTCATCATTTTGGGAGGCTGAGGCGGGTGGATTATCTGAGCTCATGAGTTCAAGACCAGCCTGGGCAACAGGGCGAAACCCTGCCTCTACTAAAAATATAAAAATTAGCCAGGTGTGGTGGCAGGCGCCTGTAGTCCCAGCTACTCAGGAGGCTAAGGCAGGAGAATCGCTTGAACCCGAGAGGCGGAGGTTGCAGTGAGCCCAGATCACGCCACTGCTCTCCAGCCTGGGCAACAGAGCAAGACTCTGTCAAGAAAAAAAAAAAAAGAGAGAGAGAGAGTTAGTACTGCTGCTACAAAATTATTTATGGTCTTGAGCTCCAACTATGTCATAATAATGAAATCCTCACAGCAGAACTATTGGATATATAATATGATTATTTTATTTAAGATACTAGTGAGACGCTAAGTCTAAGGATTAGGTCATCCAGCCACCCAGGTTTCAAGAAGCAAAAACTTTACTTAGTTTCTAAAAGGTTCAGAACAGAATTTTATCTCTTGATTTCCTGTTTGTTTCTGGGATTTTTATGAAAAATCTGCCATATGAAACTCATATGAATTATTATAATGCTTTAATGGTATTCCATAAAGGCATATGTGTGTGTTTGTGTATATGCAACACTGAACAACATAGTTAAAACACGGCTTCGTGATTATTAAAACAAAACTGTACAGATATTTTGAGTATTCGCCTTGAATAAAAGTTTTTAGAAAGACTCCATGAACTCGTTTTTTCTCATAAGTAGCTTACAATCTAGAAATATAGAAACTATATCACTTAGTACATATAGAATCATGCAAAGAGATTGCTATAATTAGTATGATAGCAATATTTTACAGTGCAGTGATGCTTTAATAGATGTAGAGATCAAAGTAATTTTAGGGGAATCAGGAAGACTTAATAAAAAGAATGAACAGTTAAACTTAATAAAAAATAAAGTCTTTTGGCAGGTAGAAAAAGTGAACACAAAAGGGAATTTTTTTTTTTTTTTTTTTTTTTTTGAGACGGAGTCTCCCTTTGTCACCCAGGCTGGAGTGCAGTGGCGCTATCTCAGCTCACTGCAGGCTCTGCCTCCCAGGTTCATGCCGTTCTCCTGCCTCAGCCTCCTGAGTAGCTGGGACTACAGGCACCCGCCACCACGCCCGGCTAATTTTTTGTATATTTAGTAGAGACGGGGTTTCACTGTGTTAGCCAGGATGGTCTCGATCTCCTGACCTCGTGATCCAGCCGCTTCGGCCTCCCAAAGTGCTGGGATTACAGGTGTCGGCCATCGCGCCTGGCCACAAAAGGGAACTTTAAGCAAAGTTACTAGTAAAAAAAAATCACCAATCTATTATATGGGGGAAATTTCAGATAGCCTGCAAAATATAATACATGTAGATAAAGACTGGTGGTATAAGTACAGTCTGTTACAAAGAGAACATCCTGTGAAGATTCTAAACAGAAAAATAACATGATTATATTTGATGTTTTTAAAGTGCTCTCTAGGACAAATTGGAGAAGTTTTAGAAAGATTTGTGTGAGGAATATTTATGAAAAAGTTAGAAAGGACAGTATAGTGTTCAATTTAACATTTTCTATATATCAGATTAAGATGGCATATATTTAAAGGTGATAAAGCAATCTAACTTTTTAAATTTTCTTTCTTTTTTTGGTAGATATTATTTTCCAACACATCATGGTATATTTAAGAACTAATATTTCATAATTTCAAATATGACTTAATGTTAGACTTTCATATACAACATTGCTAACACATTTTTATCTACGTGAGCTCATGCCCACCTTCTATGTTATATTCACAACTTATTTAAAATTAATAATTTTCTTTCACACATACACATACACATTTTACAAATACAACATATAAAAGATACAATGAAGGAGTAGCTTTGAGAGATATTTGAAATCTAAGGTCACCAACTTGTGGACTGTCACACAGATCTGGTCTTCAGATGCATTTTCTGCACATTGTTTCACAAACACTTAACAATTTCCCATGAAAGTAAAGAAGTTTAGCTTCTCTTTCAATAATCAGGTTATCTGCCCTGAGCTATTTCTGAATGGCAGCATGCATTGGACTTGCAGAGCATACACTCCCCCACGAGAAAGACTCCACCACTCCATGTGGCCCATCAGTTAGGACACCACACTCACACATGTGCTATGCCTGGTCCCTGTGGCTTTGAATTGTAACCTATGATCTAGAGAAATAATCAGGAGGACATGATGACTGACTAGATAAAGAGGGTAAGAAGAGAAAGAAAGGAGTCAAAAAAAGGATGACACATTTTCAATTCAGTTAGACACACAAAAAAATAAAGTCACTAAATGTAAGAGATTGTTGAGATGCTGGGATCCTCACCTAATTCTGACTTAGTGTGAATGTATTCTTAAGGTACCCTCATGATCCCTGCCGCCTCTTCGTACCCTTGTATGAAGCCCTCAGGCAACTGTGTGTTGGAACTGTGAATTGCTCCTAACTTGCAGAATAGAAAAAACATGTGGGGTGCATGATGCACTCATGTGTCCATAACTTTGTGATTAAGCTACACAAAGTCATAGTGCCTATCTTGCCAGAGTTGTTCATTACCTTCCTGGCTCAGGACTCAAATGATTACAATAGGGAACCTCAATGGCAAGGAACGTAAGTGGCCTTTAGAGCAGAAAGCATCCTTCAGCTGACAGATAGCAAGGAGCTGAACCCCCAGACTGACAGCTACAAGGTCTGAATGCTGCCAGCAACCACGTAAGTGGGGATGCAGATCCTACCCCAGTTGAGCCTCCAGATGAGAATCCAGTGTCCTGGCTGACACCATGATTTCTGCTTTGAGACACTGTAAAGTAAGGGACTCAGTTAAGCCACACCCAGACTCCTGACCCACAGGAACTGTGAGCTACTAAATGTGTAGTATTGTAAACTGTTAAGTGTGTGGTAATATTGTTACACAGCAATGAATAACTAATGTACTGCTAATTTTTTATTTCTTACCCTAGAGTTGTTTGTCATTTTTTCTACCAAGTGTTGAGGATGTTTTCCTTTATTCCTTTATTTCCTTTATTCTCTCCTCTCCCTTTGCTTCCTTGAATGTGCTTCCTGGGTGTGTGACTGCTTAAAGTAATAGCATGTCACTGAACTGATGGAATGCCATGGCAGATCTAGCACTGAAAAGATAGGCATCTTCTGATTACTCCATTTTATAAACTTTTAGTCATGCTGCCAGGAAATACAAGTGGCTTTGTGATGTGTCCCACATTAGGAAAGACTGAGCCATCCTACAACAGCTCTAGCTGAGCTCCCAGCCATCAGCCAGCAGTATCTTTGTCAGCCATGTGAGAGAGATATCTTGGAAGTTGATTCTCCAATCCAGTTTTGAGCCAGCCCAGTGACAACACATACAGCACAAATAACCTATCCCTAGAAACCACAACCAAATTGCAAAATCATGAATAAGTTACTTTGTTTGTTTCAACCTCTACGTTTTTGGTGGATTTACAGCAATAGACAATGAAAATATCAGAGACAATGTGTACATCCCCAGTGTTGAAAAGGGCAATTGTCACGCAGGAGCTCAATCTATACTTATTGAGTGGAATAATGTTATATTAACATTAAGTCTTTCCTATTGATAGAGATTCACTGGAAGTAATCATATATGAAGATAAGGAATTCATAATAAAATATTTGGATAGAGATGTAGTTATGGATATAGATTTTCATGAGAACACATTTAGGTTTGGAGATTACTTCTGTAATGAAGAAATAACTGGAAAGAACTGAAGAAATAATTTTGAAAAGCTTAGATATCCTCAAAGTAAAAGAAGACAGGAAAATAAGATACTGAACAAAAAGACAGCTATTAGCATAAAGGCATAGAAAATTCTAGGTTCTATGTTTATTTTTATTTTAAATCACATGTTATTATTACCACATTTTTAAAATCCAGCTGAATAATACATATTATTCTAAAAGGAAAGATAGATTTTCTCCCAAGGTTTAATGCTTACTGTGACTCTACATAAGGGCATTTTGAGCATACACGTTTAGAAAATTTTGCCCAACTAAATTAAACTTTTTAGGCAACCTAAGCATTCTAAATTTCTTTTAAGGCAATATCTAGACACGCAGGACTTTTCTATTACTCACATTTGAAAACAGTATAGCCTCACTATTTATTAGGACTTTTTACTTGCTATATGACAATATTTAAGTGTTTTCCATTTATCAAGGAAGAAAGTTATCAAATAAAATAGCTTCTCTCTAATGAGTGAAATGAAATAGTTTCTAGTGAAATGGTGTGGAAAAATAAGAGGGACAAAATGTATCTTAAAATTCTTTAAAAATCTTCTGGCAAATGTCTTTATGTAGTCCACTTAACATATATCTTCTTCTCCATGAGGGTAATAAAACTTTTCTTAAAACACAATGTCACTTCAGAGTTCAAGGCTCAGAAATTCAACAAATACTAGTTGTTTTTATATATAAGGTCCTTCTGTAATTGTGTTACCTAACACCTTACATAGTTTTATGACTATGATTATATATATATATATATATATATATATATATATATATATATATGTATATTTATTTGGAAAACTTTTGCTGATAAGCTATAGTAGTATATTATATCCTTTGAGAAGTCCTGCAGTAATGAAATTTATCTAAAGTAGCATGACTCAAGTATAATTAAGTAGAGTTTATTTTAATTGAGGGATAATTATTAACTGTATAAGAAAATAATTTTTTGTGGTACACACATTGGGAGATTTTATTTTAGGTGGGAAATATTTCAAAATTCATTTACCCCAACCTCTCAGGAGGTAAAGAAATAAGTTGATTAACATGATCCTGTGTGTGGCAAGAATATAGAGTTTGCAGGAGTAAGAAAAGCTAGCTTTATACAATTCTATTTATCACAGTAGTGATCTTAGGTGCAGCAGCTATTTTCTATGAGTCTCAGTTCCATTGTTGGTAAAATAAAATATTTTGATAATTAAAATTTATTCTGTAGAAATAATATGTAAACTATATTATATGAATTTTCATAATTACTATCTCAATCATTTTATCATTCTATCTCTGCCCAAATAATAGAAACTTAACTACCTAAAAAAGTCACACCCTCCTAATGTCTAGTGGCTGTAATTGTTTTGTCATTATTGTTTTACTTTTTATAATTGACAATTAAAAATTGTACATATTTATTGTGTAAGACATAACATTTTGATATTTGTATATACTGTGCAATGACTAAATTGAGTTAATTAATGTGCTCTAATTCACATGCTTATCATTAATTAGTGATAAAAGCACTTAAAATCTGCTCTCTTTTTAATTGTCAAATATACAATACATTGTTATCAATTATAGTCCCCATGTTGTACAATAGATCTCTTGAATTTGTTCTCCTCCCTAACAGAAATTTTGTATCCTTTGTCCAACATTTCTTCAATCCCTAACCGCACCCTGCCCCATTCTACTCTCTGCTTCTGTGAGATAAACTTTTTTAGATACTACATATAAGTGAGATCATGTGGTATTTGTCCTTTTGTGCCTAGCTTATTTCCCTTAATATAATCTACAGGTTTATCTATGTTGTCCCAAATGACAGGATTTCCCTTTTTTTTTTTTTTTAGATGGAGTCTCATTCTGTCACCAGGCTGGAGTGCAGTGGCACGATCTTCACTCACTGTAATCTCTGCCTCCCAGGTTCAAGCTGAGGCAAGATTCTCCTGCCTCAGCCTCCCTAGTATCTGGGACTACAGGTGCGTGCCACCACGCCCAGTTTTGTTTTGTTTTGTTATTTTATTTTTAATACAGATGGGTTTCACCATGTTGGCCAGGATAGTCTCGATCTCCTGACCTTGTGATCCGCCCGCCTTGGCCTCCTAAAGTGCTGGGATTACAGGCATGAGCCATCATGCCCAGCCGATTTTCTTCTTTTTAAGGTTGCATAGTATTCCATTGTGTATATATACCACATTTTATTTATCCAATCATCTATGGAAGGACACTTAGGTTAATTCCATATCTGGGCTATTGTGAATAGTGCTGCAGTGAACATGGGAGTGCATCTGTGTCTTTGGCATATTGATTTTATTCCTTTAAATAGATACCCAGTAGTGGGATTGCCAGATCATATGGTAGTTTTATTTTTAATATTTTGAGGAACCTCCATATGGTTTTCATAATGGCTGTACAAGTTTTCATCATTCCCACTGTCAGTGTACGTGGTTCCCTTTCTCTACATCCTCATCAACATTTGTTATCTTTCATCTTTTTGGTAATAGCCAACCTAACAGCTGTAACATGATATTTCATTGTAGTTTTAATTTGCATTTCCTGATGACTAGTGATGTTGAAATTTTTTTTCATAGGCCTATTGGGGATTTGTGTGTCTTCTTCTGAGAGATGTCTGTTTAGGTAATTTGCCTGTTTTCTCGATTGGGTTATTTGTCTCAGTGTTATATAATTGTTTGAATTTCTTACATGGCTTGAATATTGACCCTTGATCAGAAATATGATTTATGAATACTTTTTTCTAGTCTGTGAGGCGCCCCTTCCTCTGTTGTTATGCAGTGCCCCTTCCTCTCTTGCTATGCAGAAACATTTTAGTTTATGTAACCTCATTTGACTGTCATTACAAATTACGGGATTTCCTCTTTTTTCAGGCTGAATAGTATTCCACTGTGTATATATAACTATTATCTAATCGTTTTAAAGATTTTCTTTGATGCGATTGAAAATCTGACTCCCATAATCTCACCCAGTGAATCTCGGCCTTCACTTAAATTATATCTTGAAAAAATGTGGGATTCTATCATGTTTTTGAAAAGAAAGACTCAAGCCCATAACAATAGCAATTCCTTAAGTTAGTTGATAAATTAAACATAATTTCCATAAAATCACCATTATATTTCTTTTCCTAGAGCTACCAGTTTAACTAAAACATTTATTTCCTCTGGATGATTAAGCAAGCAGGAAACTTGGAAAGGAAATGACATGTTGGATGGTGTCTAGCAATTGAAAGTGTTAATGCAATGTTATTAGAATATGCAGATGACCCAAGAGAACAAAATAGAAAATCCAAAAAAAATGCAAGTAGACATAGAAATTTAGTGTGTGACAAAACACCGATGTTGCCGATAAATATGAGTAAAATCCTTTTTAACAAATGGTATTGGAACAATTGGATAGCCACATGGAAGAAACCAATTGATCCTCACACCATCCACCAGCATTAATTCTAAATAAATCAGAAATCTAAGTTCATAGGAGAAATGGTGCAGATTGTGGGTAAGTCATTCCAGGTATTACTCAACACCCAGGAAAAAAAAAGATCGAACAATTTAGTTACATTAAAAAGAATTTGCATGCAAAATACCATAAAGTTAGGAGATTGATAGTACACCAGAAGAAAAAGCTTTTACTTTATATTACAACGAAGTGTCAGCACTCATTAGATAGATATTTCAAAAGTATAGAAAGTACTAAGTATAGAAAGTACTAACAATCCATAAGTGGACAAATATACAGACAGATAGCTCACAGAAAAAAAGAAATGTAAACTGCATTTAAACATATACAAGAGTCAGTCCTTCTCATAATAAGATAAACATGGATAAACTGTCCCAGAGAAGCCATTTTTTTGCCAGCCATTTTTTATAATACTGGGAGAAAAAAAAGTGTTTCATAATATATATATTCTAATAGAGGCATAGGCAAATATATCTTCAGTGGAGATTAAAAGTGATATAACCCCTATGAACAGTGAATGGAATTATATTCAACTTGCAATGTCCATGCTTGCTGAATGTTCTTATTAAATATCATATGATCACACCTTTCAGATACAATTTTTAAAGTTTTCTTTTTCAATCCTTGTAAATTTATCTGCTCTGATAAGGACTTCAAATACAACATTGAATAGAAGTGGTGATTGTGGACCTCCTTGTCTCATTCCTGACTTGAAGTCGATACATTTACCTTTTCAGAGTTCAATGTGTTCATTCCTATACAGTGTTTTGTTTTG
This sequence comes from Homo sapiens, assembly GCF_000001405.40. NCBI lineage: Eukaryota > Metazoa > Chordata > Mammalia > Primates > Hominidae > Homo > Homo sapiens. The sequence continues at coordinate 20,511,821 of NC_000005.10, forward strand.
TTTCAAACTTTTGGTTTTATTTGTTGGTGAGTTTGTTTTTACTTTGATTAATGTATACCAATAAGCAGGTGAAGGTATTTTCTTATTTCTTGAGTTAATTAACAATTTTTATAAATTTAAAAAACAGGCTGGGTGTGGTGGCTCACGCCGAGCACTTTGGGAGGCTGAGGTGGGTGGATCACCTGAGGTCAGGAGTTCAAGACCAGTCTGGCCAACATAGTGAAACCCCATCTCTACTAAAAAATACAAAAAATTAGTTGGGTGTGCTGGCAGGCGCATGTAATCCCAGCTACTCGGGAGGCTGAGGCAGGAGAATCGCTTGAATATGGAAGGCAGAGGTTGCAGTAGGCCGAGATCAGGCAAATGCACTCCAGCTTGGGCAACAGAGTGAGACTCTGTCTCAAAAAAATAAAAAAATAAATGCTCGCTATTTTGTGTATCTATTTTTCTGAAATTTCTTAATTTGATAATTTATATTAGATTGCTTATAATTTTTCATGGTCAGAATAAATTGAATTTTTTGTTGCCTTATGTTTGTTCACATTTTGTTTAGGATTTTTATGTATGTTCATGATTGAGTTTGACATGATTTTTCTTTTGCAAGTTAAAAATCTACAAGTGATCTTATAATTATGTATTAATGTGATATATTCTTTGTGACTGCTATAAGATACTTGAAAGTAAAATTCATGCTGTATTTCCAATCATCTTTATATTTTGTCCCTGTATTTCTGTAATTTGTAAACTAAGGAACATACAAAGCTAAAAACTTGACTCAGCTGGCTGAGTGTGGTGGGTCACGCCTATAATCCCAACACTTTGGGAGGCTGAGGTAGGCAGATCACTTGAGGTTAGGAGTTCGAGACCAGCCTGGCCAATATAGTGAAACCCCATCTCTACTAAAAATACAAAAATTTGCCAGGTGTGGTGGCAGGCATCTGTAATCCCACCTACCTGGGAGGCTGAGGCAGGAGAATCACTTAAACCTGGGAGGCAGAGGTTGCAGTGAGCCAAGATTGCACTACTGCACTCCAGCCTGGGTGACAGAGCAAGACTCTGTCTCCAAAAAAAAAAAAAAAAATCGACTCAGCTCTGATGCTTGTCCTCCAAGGAGACTTGGCCTAGATGGTTTCTACATGCACTCGTCAGTCACAAGTGGTTTCTCCTTCAAAATTCACCGTAGCATGTGAGCCTCTCTGTTGGTTTTCTTACTTCCTTTCTTAAATTGTGCATAATAATTTCGTACAGATTTCTTCGTATGTTTTTATAATTAATGAATGAAGGCCATAGATATGAAAAAATACTTATTAATATTAACAAGAAAACTCTAAAACTAGTCTTCCTTTTTCAGTTATAATAAAGTGGAGAGAATCTGAGATTCCACAGTGCTGCTAAATGTGAAGATTCCCAGGGCTTAGAAGATCCTGCATTTTATCTCACATGTAGCTCAAACATTAGGAGCTTAAATTACAGCAAAACATAAATTAAGAACTGAAGAACACATACATCTTCAGAGAGACAATCTCTTAATTGTCATTACAAGGAAATTTTTAATTTCTGTGAAAATGCTGTTCCAGAAATTAACTTGATAAATTCTGTTGTTAACTCATCTATATTTCCCCTGGGGACAAGTGTAGTTGGAAGTTTGGTCCAATGACCAAAGTTTTACATCAGATCAATTGTAAAAATAATAAACAATGCATCACAAACATAGATATTCAAATAACTTCTTTAATATCCTAAAATCTAGATTTATGCTACAAGTCTTACATGTAGGCAGAAATGTCCAGGTTGATCAAATAAAGGTTTCAAAAGTACTATAAATGTATTTATACACAAATAAAACATTTTCTTATAACTTTTTGGGCCTAACAATCATAACAATGTCAAAATAAACATTCATTGGAGAGGTCCTAAATGTCCTTTTATTTTTCCCCTTTATATATTTATTTTGGGGAATTAATTTGAATGTTTTATATGTCTTTTAAAAGCTTGCACAGCAAATCGCATGACCATTTCTATCTCTTAATAAATATTTCTGTAGCAAATAAATGGAATTCAAAAATCTATCTGGATTCCTCCTAGAAAATAGTTTAAAGCTATCCATTCAGTTTACAATTACATTTTACAGGCATTCACAAAAATGTTGCTGATAATAAAATGCACTATGATATTCCCATAGTGCTTTACTCATCAGATTGCACTTTCGCAAATGTTATTATAAAACTTCTTTCCACACTGTAAGGTAGGTAGAAAAAACAGTATATAAAATTTTCAGTTTAAATTATTCTCTACTGTTTTTAATCTGCATATAGACCTGCTTGAGACTCTGATCTTAATATTCTTCCTCACTCCACCACATTTTGTTATTTTCCTATATCTCATCTTCTTCATTTCCAAAATGTTTGACCAATGTATTTCTTTCTCTAAATATTTTTTTAATTGGTGTCTGACATAGGCACACTGCAGCTCCTGGAGGTAAGCGGTGTGTACAGATTACATGGCAAGTGAGTCATAGAACCAAGGGATCATCTTAGAAGAAGCCGCAGCTTCTTGTATCAGGTTGCTGGTTTATTTCCTTTCATTGTTATCATACCAATGTCAAGCTTGGTCGTCATGCTTTTTAAAAAGTCACAAAATCTCTTCCCTTGTGTTCAGTATGTGGAAGTTTAGAGAGAGGGAGTTCAGACTTTTGTTTTGATGATCGTTGACAAGGGTTATTTTGGTGGCAAGTGACATATGTACATGAGCTGATTGTAGTAGCTAAGTAATGTGCTTGGGTTGCATGTGTGTCTGGGTGTGTTTGTGTGTCTGTCCCTATGAGTGTTTTTAGCATAAGTTTTATACCTCATCTCTAAGGCCTTACACCATAACATCCTGCGACTTATGCTGAGCCACAAGGTGATACATTGCTCAGTAAATGAAATTAGTAAACATTAGTAAAGTTTAACATGACATGTAAAAGGAAGAAAATGTCATTTGTCTGATTGTGTTTTCAGATGTCTTATTCATCTTATTCATCTCCAGCTATCCTGTATGCCATGAAGTTTTTGACTGGTGACTTAAGCATTAGCAGGATACTGTTTTTCTGAACTCACTTATATATCATGGCTATTTCCTACTCCTAAACAATCTTCATAGATATGACAGCATGCCAATAATCAATAATATTCATGCTGGGGAGTAAAAATTAAAAAAAAACACTAAGAATATATGAACATCAATAAGAGAAACAGCAATATAAATATGGCTAATCTGTGTATCTCACATATTGTGACATAAATACATGTCATGTAAATATTGTTGAATGCATATTACTATAATCAAAAAGACCTGATGAACTGAATAGGAATTTTTTGAAAAAATGAGTGAGTGAATTCTTCAGTCAAATGTAAATAGTATTTTGTATTTCCTAGAGTATAAATCTTCCCAGTGGCAGAGTGTCCAATAGAGGAAGGAAGAAAGGGGGAGAGAGAAAGAGAGTAATAAAAAAAAAAAAAAGGAAAATAAAACCAGAAGAGTCATGGCAACTTTTCCCTGTACGCTACAAAAAACAACTGTTCAAGTAACATATCATTCTTGTCCCAAACAGGTACACTCAACACTTTTCTTGGTCATCTGTCTCCTAAGTGCTCTGGTTCCCAAGATCCCATTTCTATTCACTTTTCCATTACGAAAATACAATTTAAATGCCACCTAGATACGCATTTGTCTGCTCTTGATTTGTTTAATTCTATTGAATAGGACCCAACAATTCCCATTTAACAGCTCGTTATTCTAAATAAGTCAAATTCTATACTCAGGTTAATTCAATGTGTCTAAGACAAGTTAGCCAACAGTGTATTGTGGAGTGTCTGCCTTTGAACTTCTATTCACATTTCCTTTGGAGAACAATTACTAGCTAATTGAATTCTTTATATCCAAAGTTAGCAGTTTCCCCAAAATGCATGGAAATTCTGTCTTAGAAACCGATGCCAGTTTTATAGCTTCCTTCAGTTGGTGCTGGCAGATGTCTTACTTTCGCATCTATGAACATTTACAAGTCTATCATCAGCAGAGTCAGGAAAAATATGAAGTTAAGTTGCTTGACTAATTGATTGGCATTAACTTAATTAAACAAATTAAGATCCAGATTGATAGTCACCGGGTGACTTTAACGATTACAATGTTCATTTCCATTAATTTGTCATTAGGCCTTTAATGTAATGGGCTCAATAGAACTCAAAATTATTTTCAAAATTTTTGACATATGGGATATCATTAAAATGGCACCATAAAGTTATATATCTGATAATGAATGCTAATTGTAAGAGGTTTGTAGTACTTATTATGGTGGTCCTATTATAATTTGGATTTTTTTTCCTTTTGTAAAATATTAAGTAAAAAATAGAATTTGCTGTAGAGAAATTCACTGTTGGCCACTTTTCTTTAACACATTAATTCATTTCTTTTATGACCTTCTAAGCGCATAGGAGAACAAGAGGTTTAGAGAAACACTGGAGTGTGGAAAAAGCAGTTTGGATAGGTTTTCATAATATTACAAAAAACAAATAAAATTCAACCGTTAATCAAATGGAAAATATAGTAAGATAATTTACTGCAAACAAAACAATGCAGTACAAAAGAACTAAGAAAAATAATTTTAATACAGGTGACTTTGGGCTGAGTTTTCAAATGAGCTGGTTCTTATATTTCTATGCATATTTATTTATACATATAAAATAAGGAAGTTTCAGAAGTTTGCAAGCAGTATCTGGGATAAGAATGCAGCACAGAGAAATTAGAAAAAGTAGACAGACTTTATGTTAAGAATCAAGCATAGGTTATGTCTTCTTTCTAATTTATTATTTTTAAAAATTTTCTTACTAGATTGTTAGAAAATTAGAGACTGATATGGAATGCCTAAGACTATGATTTGTATGACTATTTATAACAATTTATACCTATTGATGTATTACCTTGTATTTTTTTTCGGATTGCCGTAGGACTTCTTAACTTTGGAGAGGCTGGAAGCAGGATTTACAACCTCGTTTATTCCAAAAGATGTTGACAAATTACGTGTTTTCAAATCTTGAAGACAAGTTCAAGTGTGATGATTCTTTTTCTAGAGTCCATCAAATAGAATCTAGTGCAATACTTAGATCTTGCATACAGTAGAAATGCAATGAAAATCTATTTCATCTTAAAGCACATTTTGTAGTCTTTGATCATGACAAACGAGAATTATGTATATTTTGGTATAGCTATAGAAATAAATTCTAAACAATCTCAATTATGATTGATGTTTAGTCTGATGATTGCTTCATGCTTGGGATTAGAACAAAATCAGTCAAATTATCATCTATATCCTAATATGTATATATTTTATTTACTAATAACAATTTATTATGAAATTACTAAATTTTAAATCATGAATAGAGAGAAAATATAATACTTGAAAAATTATTTGCTTATATATTTTTGTTTATTCAAGAAGACAGGACATAATGAGATACATATAAACATGATAAAGTAAATGAATAAACAGGATATTCCAATTAATCTTATTCCTAAAGACAGATGTTATGACAAATGAATAAATGTGAATAATAAACATTTTAGATAGGATATTAATATTCCAGGTTAAACAAATATTATTTTCAATTAAAATATTACTTAATTTCCTTGACCAATGATTATTATTAGCAAGTATTTTAAAATACAAAGTAGACAATTAATTTAAATCTGATATATTTTAAATAAATGATGGTTCCCTTTCATGTATTTACTTTGTACACATACCAAGGCTATAAAATAATTTAAAGCATAGTCTCTGCCTATAAGGTTCTTATAAGGTTTTTACGGGTTTTAGGAAGGTATTACATATACCAGAATTCAAATATTCTAATTTCCTAAAAGTGGGAGCTAAGTAGTTTACAATTTGTTTGGAAAAAACACCAAAGAAAAAATCTAAGTTTGCATGTTACAGTAAGCATACCATGTAGACTTCAAATATAGGAAAATTTGAGGTGATTGTGGTTGTTTCACCTAGGAAAAGTATTGGAAGAAAATTCTTGGAGTGGTGAAGGTAGAATCAGTTGAGAGGGAATTGAAGTTATAGTTTTCTGTGGAATCAGATAATGGAACAGGTTGAATTCTAAATCTATATCACAAAAGATATTCACATTCTATTACACTCTTCCAGGAACCTTTATTTTTTTTTCCTTTCCCCTATAAGCAACCACAGTAGTTACCCTGATTCTGAATCTAATCAGAGAGTGGGGAAATGTTCCAGTAAGAAACAACAGAACTGACCCTTATATCCATCAGATATTTTTCTTGATTCACTATCTACTAACTCTACCTGGGAAAATCAATGAGACAATATCTGTCACAAGGCCGTAATTAATTTTTGCCTGAAGTTCAGCCAAATCCAATTTTGCATCAGCTTCCTTCCTTCTTCCATAATAACTAGAATAATAGTTGATCATATGGTTAGATGGGTTCATTAATTAATGAGTGGTCAGGGATATTTTGTGAGCAATCTTAATCAGCTAGATAAGGAAACTGGTAGATGACACTAAGGTAGGAAATCACAGATTCAAAAGTCTATATCATCTCCCAAGTATGATTATGTGGGCTCCCTTTTTGGTTCCTCTCTGAACTTGACTTCTAGGTCCTCAATGACCTTATAACAACAGAAAAATTATGGATCCTGTGTAAGCAATTGCACACTGAGGAAGATGTCTGCCTGACACGTGGCGTTTCAATGGACTAAGCATTTTGTAGTTAGTTGACAGACAGTAAATCTCTCTTTTTAAAATTACAGATGATTTCATTTATTTCTTTGCCAAAAGTACACTATTAAGGAGCCATGTGGGCCTGAAGGTGAACCATGCCACTCATGTAATGATGGGAGCCAAATCCCTTACTAAGACAGTTTATCCGTCGTATTCAGAAGTCCCTTCTCATGGCCAAAATCCATATGCAGCAAGAGTATGGAAAGTGTTTCTGCTATTTGTTAACACAATTCATTTATCAGGATTCCACTAAGAAAACTTTGGAAGGATAAAGATTAAATAGTTAAGGATAACTTACAAGATGTACCAAGTGAAGTTTTACAACATGACAGCAAGGTAGAAAGAAAAAGATAACAGTTTAAAGTAGCATGGATAGAAGAAACAACATCTGATGACTATATATTAGTATTTAGAAAACAGAAAAAGCCAAAAATGCTCAATACCCCCAGCCTGGATGATGGAGATGATACAAATTTTCAAAGTTTTTAATTACGGATGATTGAAAAATTTCTGTCTTTATTCTTGTTGTGATTTTCACCATATTATTCCAAAACTTTCTGTGATATCTGAAGAAAAAAATGACAAAGACACTTTCCTACAAAATATTAGTTTGAAATAATTAAAAAGGAGTCAACAATAGACTGGATTAAGAAAATGTGGCACATATACACCATGGAATACTATGCAGCCATAAAAAATGATGAGTTCCTGTTCTTTGTAGGGACATGGATGAAACTGGAAATCATCATTCTCAGCAAACTATCGCAAGGACAAAAAACCAAACACCGCATGTTCTCACTCATAGGTGGGAATTGAACAACGGGAACACATGGACACAGGAAGGGGAACATCACACTCCGGGGACTGTTGTGGAGTGGGAGGAGAGGGGAGGGATAGCATTAGGAGATATACCTAATGCTAAATGATGAGTTAATGGGTGCAGTACACGAATATGGCACATGTATACATATGTAACAAACCCGCACATTGTGCACATATACCCTAAAACTTAAAGTATAATAATAATAAAATAAAATAGAAAAAGGAGTCAAGAAGCATCCAGGGAAGTGCATTTGTCCTTTGTGAGATTGTTTGCGGTTGAAATCCCATTTATCCAAGTGTAATTTTTTTTTTTAAGTTGTAGGATCAGCAGGCATTATTATCCTGTTAGATGATGCATTTGCTCTTTTCTTCAGCATCATCCTGACAGATCAGGTCAGACTTCTTGTTGGCATAGTACTATGGAGACAGCTGGCAGATGTCCTTTTTTATTTTATTCATTTATTTTTATTTGGACAGGGTTTTCCTCTGTCACCCAGGCTGGAGTACAACACAGTCTTGGCTTTTTTTTTTTTTTTTTTTTTTTTTTTTTTTTTTTTTTTGTATTTTTGGTAGAGACAGAGTTTTGCTGAGGTTGGTCTCGAACTCCTGAGCTAGGTGATCTGACCCCTCGGTCTTCCAAAGTGCTGGGATTACAGGTGTGAGCCACCACGCCCAGCAGCAGATGTCCTTTTGAAAAGAGGGGATGACAGGGCATTAGGGTGTCTAAGAGCTCCCACTGAAGATTATCTGGGACTGAACATTGTTATATAAACAACTAGGACCAAGTAGAGGTAAGGAAAGCTGCCTGGTACAAGTTTCAGAGAAATGTTTCTATAATTTCTGTTTCAGAGAAATGTTTCTATAATTTCTGTCCCTTGAAAGAGAAAGGGAGGTTCTTCTGCATCCATGCATAATGTGGCAGAAGAGACTAGTGCCCTTTGTTATAGCAAAACAATCATGCATGCAAAAGAGAATATGGAAACGTTATGGTAGAGTCTGATGTAGAGGCCAGACTCTTTGGCATAAGTTTGTACCACACACTTAAGCTCCCACCTGAGAGGAATCAGACTGGCCACTCTTGAGAGGAATGCTGAGAATGGGATGGATAGAACCTTAGTGCTAATATACAAGCATGCTCTGAAATACAAGGGTAGTGAGGCATTTTGCGTCTCAGGCCCTATATATTTAAATAATTAAGAAAGAAGAGTTAAGAATTATTCCCAGATTTTGTAGATGGCAGGGAGATATGAAGAGAGATGAGCAATTGGGTTAACAGCTTTGTTCTTAAGTGAGATCATAAAGTAGCAGTTTAGGGGATAATCTAGTTTTGAACATGTTAAATTTGAGGTGCCTACTGGCATCCAAGTAAAATGTCAAGAAAAAAGTTGGATGTATAAATGAGAGAAAAGATCTAAAATAAATATACAAATATAAGAATCATCAACATGTAGACTGAGCCATGAGATCACTAAACAGGCATGGTCATGATTGGTAGTACTGGTTGTGCACTGCACAAGACCAGTCAGCTAAAAGGTGAGCAGTAGCTAACATCTAGCATAACCTCTCACCAAACTGTGTGTTCTGAAATGGGACTATATCCACCTGGAGAAAAAAAATTTTAATTAGTAAAAATAGTGCCTCAAGGGAAACAGAAGCCCTAGAGAGAAGATTAAAAATGAAATAATTGACCCAGATATTACACCAGTACTAAAAGTTAGAAAATGCCAATGATTGCCTGAAGCTGAGTTGGGAGGTGTGAGGTGTCAATCAATGGCAAAGGAGCATAGAGCAAATTCTGGACATATTGAAATGTTTTATTTCTTGACTAGGAAAAGTATAAGTTTGGGGAGGCGAGGCAAGTCAAGCAAAATGGTTTGAAAATGAGGGGCTAGTGATGTAGAGGGTGATAAAACAAAAACAATCAAGCCTTCTGTCCACAAAGTGTTTCAGAAGAAGAATGATCCAATGAATAAGTATTTTTTGTTGATAATGCAAATAAGACTTAGGAGTTTGAATTAGCCATAGGATTTAGCAAACTGGCAATCACTGGTGAACTTGACTGGAGTTATTTTGATAAAGTGGTGTTTAAATGAGTACACAAGAGAATAAAGAGAAGAAAGTATGAGACAATGAATGTAGGCCCCAAAATTTAAAATATTTTCTTTTAAAGCGGAGCAGATACATGGGGCAGTAGTTGAAGGGAGAAATGGGTTAAAGAGAAGATATTTTTAAGTGTAGAGTTAATGGCAAATGCGTTTGTAGGCTGATTACAATAACTCAGCAGGGAAGAAAAACTGACTCAGAAGAGAAAGAGGATGATTTCTGGAGCAAGGTTCTTGTAGGGGTAACTGGGAATAGAACCAAGCACAAGTTACACACACACACATACACACACACACACACGTGCATACATTTGTATTTCCAATAAAAATGTTTTTTGACAGTGAAACTAATGAATAAAACCTGAAAAAAAACCCTCTTCGAATATTTCATACATTGAATTGTAGTCAACTTTTTCTGTGAACAATTAGGATGTATTATGGGGTACCTCAATATGTAATCGTGTTGTGAGATAAAAGTCTTTAAAGAGGTGATAAAGTTAAAATGAGGTATTCAAAGTGGGCCCTGTTTCAATATCACTAGTGTTCTTACAAAAAGAGAAAATTTGGCCATACAGAGAAAGACGTCAGAAACAAATACCCACTGATGGAAGATCATGTGAGTCCACAGCGGGAAGTTAGCCAGCTGCAAGCCAAGAGGGATTTCAGAAGTAACCAAACCTGCTGACACTTTGATCTTGAACTCCTAGCCTTCACTATGAGAAATTAAATTTCTGTCATTTAAGCCACCTAGTTTCTGATGTTTTATTACAGTACCCCTAGCAAACTAATACAGAATGTAAGCCATTTGACACAAATAACCATGTCTCCTACTCCTTTTAAGACAGCAATTGCTATTAAAGGTACTTCATAAATATATGATAAGAATGAATCTTATCCTTTAATAAATGACTGGTGAAACTATGGTTTATGTGTAATATCTCTAATTATAGTTCACTGCACCTGAATATATTTCTTCAGCAACAGTGCAGTTACATATTTATAATAGTGAGGATAATATATGAATTATCCAAAGGGAATCATATGGAATTTCTTTTCAGTTGAATGTTAAGTAATATTAATGTGAGGCAGTAGTAGAGACATCTGAAATGTTAGCTCCCTTCCTAAAGGCAAGAGAGCACCTTGTTTTACATTTCTGGAACATTTCAGGACCAATAAATTAATGTTAAAAAATAAAACCCTCTCTGAACATATGTTCTTAGGATAATCTAAAACCCGTTAGGAAGTGGTTTTCACTACAATTCTAATTCTTGATTTAAAATAATTTTATTTCTAATTTATGCGCACGCACTTGTAATTCTTCTGTAAAGCACATTGAGGAATAAAAATCCAATAACTCACAGCCATATCAATTATTCTGTGGAATATGATTTCTAAATCAATAATGATTATTATGCAACCAATGAATCAAAATTCTTGCATTTTACTTTCTTTGAAGTAGCTACTTGCCTTGTTTTTATGCTAGACATGAAACCACAAGATGTAGGACTTTAACAGGGCAAATGAAATTCCTCATTTTAATGTACTGCAGTTCATTTTTATGCACAGTTGCTTAATGTGTTTCATCTTTGTGCATGATAGGAGTCACTGTCTTTGTAATCTCATTTCAATCACTATCCAAGTGGTATGTTGCTGAAAACATTAATTTTTACTAATGCTAGGAAAACGTTTTCTGAAAGCAAGTTTGCTCATGCATGCTTTTTGCAAATGTCTTTCTATTCTTTGCAATCAGCTGAGTTGACATTTTAATTGGTCTGTAAGCCTGTGAAGAGTGCTGGCTGAGAAACAAGCATGCTTTCGGGCATTGCTTTCCCTCTGACAGCATGTTACATGCTGACTCTCTGCACATCTCAGTTTAGTTGAATCTATATTTGTATTCTTTATATTACAATTATGACGGTGATACATCAGACAACCTGCCTTCAATGTAATCTTAAAACTCATTTATAGCTGGTAATTTCTCATATGCTGGAATATGATAATGGAAACACAAGCAAGGATCATAACTTATTTTTTTTAGATGGAGTCTCGCTTCTTCACCCAGGCTGGAGTGCAATGACGCGATCTCCAGTCACTGTAACCTCCGCCTCCCAGGTTCAAGCAATTCTCCTGCCTCAGCCTCCCAAGTAGCTGGGTTACAGGCATGTGCCAGCACGCCTGGCTAATTTTTGTATTTTTAGTAGAGATGGCATTTCACCATATTGGCCAGGCTGGTCTCGAACTCCTGACCTCAAGTGATCTGCCCACCTTGGCCTCCCAAAGTGCTAGGATTACAGGCATGAGCCAGTGCACCTGGCCCATAACTTTTAAGTATTGAATATTCACATACTTTCAAAAAAGTGCATTTGCATTTGTACATGAGAAAGAGAGAGACAGGAGGGAGACAAGAGATTGGGACAGAGATCTGGCAAAGTTGTGTGTGTATGCACAGACTAAGTCAAAGTAAATTTATGTAGTTTTAGTTAGAAACTCACCTATTTTGTGTTAAACGGAGATAAATTTTTATTGTATTTTATCCATATGAAATGAGCTCTTTTCTATCCAATGATTTAAGACATTTGATTATAAACATTGTTACTCACATTCACATAGGAAGTGCCACTTCACTAAAGCACCACTCACTACAGTCCCTGCTGATTGGCAAATTAGTTTCTTTAATATTTAATTGTTTAAAATCTTGTTTAACAAACAAACTTTTCTCAGTGTGAATTTAGACTTGTATAAAATAGATTATAATTAGTTTTCTTAGATTCAGATATATCTTTAAACACAGGACAATAACCATTTCTACTAAATATACTAATTAATAAATGCAATTTTAACATATTTTTCTATTAAAGACAATGTTTGTTTAGTCAATTTGTTATGGACATTATGGAGACCAAAGAGCTCTAAACTTTGACAGCACATTTTTTCTACATTTATTTCCACTGTATTGCAGCTACTTCTTTATTAATATGTGTACATTATCATTATTTAATATATCAGGAGACAATACATAGTTGTTTAAGGTTATTGTTAAATTTTTTGTTCACATTTTATATATGTAGGTATATGTACATATCAATATATCTGCATTTAGGAGGCTTACCGATAACAAAACAAAAGCGGATCAAAACATCCATATTTGAAATACAGATTTAAAATCACTTGGCAGCTAGATACTAGGTGTAGAAATAGGTATTGTTGAGAAGAAAAGGGTTTTCCAGGTCCTTTATCAGTGTTCTAGCTATCAAAAACCAAGCCCTGAGGTCTTCAGTTCATACTCTCATGCAATGTAGACTATACAGCTCCTTGTTAACTCAGTAAAGGCCTGCTGTTCCAACTCAGAAGGAGGATATAACCTAGCCCACAGGAATGATAAGAAGAAGAAGAGAAGATAGCAACAAGGTTAGAACCCACAGAGTATGTCCCTTCTGTAGTCTCTTGCTTGGGGGAAACAAAGGCCAAGTTTATGAGACGATTAAAGACTTTTTGAGGGCTGATGTTGGCTTGCGAACTTATTCCCTGTTTAGGAACTTGAATGCAACAACCTGAGGAGCAGCAACACTAGCAACACGGCATGGTCTGACTAAGACATTCTGTAGCTTTAACTCTGCAGTTTAACTTTGTAAGGATATACTTCATTCTGGAAGGAAGCCCAGAAGCCCTGAGATTCTTGCTGGGGGGACTGCTGGACAGATTCACTACCAAAGGTCTGAGATGCTCTTTTTGAGAATGCTGCTAACTGAATTACAAAGTCTGGGGCCTAATGATTACCAGTGCCAGAGCTCCAGGGTTTTGTAGTGTCAGCATTTACTGAGGCGGGGTTCATCTTAGCCTAGAATCACTGTGGATCTGTCCACATAGGACTTATGCAGGCCGCAGAATTTACAGGCTGAAAAGCAACACCCTGGAAATCAGAGGGGGCAGATGGCTCCATGTTCCAGGACACTTATTCCTCCCAACTACCACCCATAAATATGCCTGCCCTGCCTTCTTCCTGCAGTTCACCTGGAGAAAAATGAGAAAAAGAGAAGGAGCTGGCTGGGCAGCTTACTAGCCAGGAGATGAAGCTGCCTAAACAATATATGACTCTTTAAATTAATTGACCCTACTAAACTTAAATTGGTCATTTTGACAAAATTATCACTCCAACTAATCTGCAAGTGAGTTTTGTGAAGAAAACTAGATTAGCAAAAGGTAAAATAATTATATTTCATCCTTCACTTAAGGTATGAGGTAAACATATACTTCAATTATTTTATATGCTTCCACTATACACACACACACACACACACACACACACACATTGAGCCAGGACCTTAATTGATTCACTCATCCACTCATCTTTAGCAATATTTTATGACTCAAAAGTTTTTAAAGTCCAAATGTATCCTTCTCTGAATTTAAAGAAAAAACAGGAGAGTGTCTTGTTTGACAATGAGAGTAGCAAAAGAAAACAATATTGGCCAGTTAAGAATGAAATAAGTTCACTGCAGCTCTAGTCAGTAGTTTTCTTCTGCCAGTGCAAGGGAGGCTGGGTTTTCCCCTGCCAGTGCAAGGGAGGCTGGGAGGTTTGGACTGGGTGGTATTCCCGACAGGGCAGCACAGCATCTATGGCAGATCGTGGCCAGACTCTTTGTTTAGGTGAAACCTGGATCCAACCCTTTTCACCAGGCAGGGCCTCCCTGTAGGACTTTAGCAACCCAAGCCAGGGGTTTGCAGACAGAACTCTCATTTCCCTGGGACCGAGCACCTAGCGGGGAGGGGCAGCCATGGTCTCAGGTTCAGGGGACCTAATCTTTCCTGCCTGCTGACTCTGAAGAGTCCAGACATTCCAGACCAGAGGGATTTCCCCACCACAGCACTCCAGCTCTGCTAAGGAGCAGCCAGACTCCATCCATAAGGGGGGCTTTGATCCTGTGCCTCCTGACTTGGGAAGATCTCCCAACAGGGGTTTCTAGACACCTCATATGGGAGAGCTCTGGCTGGCACTAGGTCAGTGCCCCTCTGGGACGAAGCTTCCGGAGGAAGGAGCAGGGAGCAACCTTTGCTGTTCTGCAGCCTCCACTGGTGATACCCAGGTAAACAGGGTCTGGAGTGGGCCCCCAGCAAACTGCAGCAGACCTGCAGAAAAGAGGCCTGACTGTTAGAAGAAAAACAAACAGAAAGCAAAAACAACAACAACACAACATCAACAAAAATGACCCCACGAAAATGCCATCCAAAGGTCAGCAGCTTCAAAGATCAAAGTTAGGTAAATCCACAAAGACGAGGAAAAAACAAAACGCAAAAAGCAAAACATAAAAATGCTGAAAATTCCAAAAGCCAGCATGCCTCTTCTCCTCCAAATGATTGCAACACCTCTCCAGCAAGGGCACAGAACTGGGCTGAAGCTGAGAATGGACAAACCGACAGAAGTAGGCTTCAGAAAGTGGCTAAGCTAAAGGATTATGTTCTAACCCAAAGCAAAGAAGCTAAGAATCATGATAAATGATTACAGGAGCTGTTAACTAAAATAACCAGTTTAGAGAGGAACATAAATTACCTGATAGAGCTGAGAAACAGAGCATGAGAACTTTATGATGAAAACACAAGTATCAATAGCTGAACCAAACAACTGGAAGAGAGAATATCAGAGCTTGAAGACCATCTTGCTGAAATAAGGCAGGCAGACAAGACTAGAGAAAAAAGAATAAAAAGGAATGAACAAAACCTCTGAGAACTATGGGACTATGTAAAAAGACTGAATCTGTGATGGATTGGAGTACCCAAAAGAGATGAGGAAAATGGAACCGAGATGGAAAACACACTAGAGAATATCATCCAGGGGAACTTCCCCAACCTGGCAAGACAAGCCATTATTCAGATTCAGGAAATTCAGAGAACCCCAATAAGATATTCCACAAGATCAACCCCAAGACATATAATCATCAGATTCTCCAAGGTCAAAATGAAGGAAAAAATATTAAAGACAGGCAGAAAGAAAGGTGAGGTTACCTACAAAGAGAAGCCAATCAGACTAACAGCAGACTACTCAGTGAAAACCCTGAAAAGCCAGAAGAGATTGAGGGTCAATATTCAACATTCTTAAAGAAAAGAATTTCCAACCAAGAATTTCATATCCAGCCAAACTCAGCTTTATAAGAGAAGGAGAAATAGAATCCTTTTCACACAAGCAAAACCTGAGGGATTTTGTCACCACCAGGCCTGCCTTGCAAGAGCTCCTGTAGAAAGCACTAAACATAGAAAGGAAAAACCATTGCCAGCCATTACAAAAACACAGTGAAGTACACAGGCCAATGACACTATGAAGCAACTAAATAAACTAGTTTGCAAAATTAATCAGTCAGC
The DNA here is from genome assembly GCF_000001405.40 of Homo sapiens. NCBI lineage: Eukaryota > Metazoa > Chordata > Mammalia > Primates > Hominidae > Homo > Homo sapiens. The sequence goes on from NC_000005.10 coordinate 20,527,878, forward strand.
ATTATGATGACAGGATCAGATTCACACATAACAATATTATCCTTTGATGTAAATGAGCTAAATGCCCCAATTAAAAGACACAGAATGGCAAGCTGGATAAAATGACAAGACTCATTGGTGTGCTGTATTCAAGAGACGTGTCTCACATGCAAAAACACACCTAGGATCAAAATAAAGGGATGGAGGAAAATTTACCAAGCAAATGAAAAGCAGAAAAAAGTGGGGGTTGCAATCCTAGTTTCTGACAAAAGGTAGGCTTTAAACCAACAAATTTGTCAAAAAAGACAAATAGCATTACACAATGGTAGAAGCTTCAATTCAACATGAAGAGCTAACTATCCTAAATATGTATGCACCCAATACAAGAGCACCCAGATTCATAAAACAAGACCTACAAAGAGACTTAGACCACCACACAATAATAGTGGGAGATTTTAATACCCCACTGTTAGTATTAGACAGATCATTTAGACAGAAAATTAACAAGATATTCAGAACTTGAACTCAGCTCTGGACCAAGTGGACCTCATAGATACCTACAGAACTCTCCACCCAAAAACAACAGAATATACATTTTATCTCGGCACCACATGACACTTACTCTCAAATTGATCACGTAATTGGAGGTAAAACACTACTCAGCAAATGCAAAATAACTGAAGTCATAACAAACTGTCTTTCAGAACAGTGCAATCAAATTAGGACTCAAGATTAAGAAACCCACTCAAAACCACACAACTACATGGAAATTGAACAACTTGCTCCTGGATGACTTCCAAGTAAATGACAAAATTAAGCCACAAATCTTTGAAACTAATGATAACAAAGAGAGAACATACCAGAATCTCAGGGACACAGCTAAAGCAGTGTTAAAAGAGAAATTTATAGCACTAAATGTCCACATGAAAAAGCTGGAAAGATCTCAAACTGACATCCTAACATCACAACTAAAAGAACTAGAGAACCAAGAACAAACAAACCCCAGAGTTAGCAGGAGACAAGAAATAACCAAGTTCAGAAGAGAACTGAAGGAAATAGAGACACAAAAACCCTTCAAAACATCAATGAATCCAGGAGCTGGTTTTGTGAAAAAAAATCAGTAAAATAGACAGACCTCTAGTTAAGCTCATAAAGAAGAAAAGAGAGAAGATTCAAAAAAATACAATCAGAAATGATAAGGGGGATAACACCACTGACCCCACAGAAATACAAACAACATCAGAGAATACAATAAACACCTCTATGCAAATAAACTGGAAAATCTAGAAGAAATGGATAAATTCCTGGACACATACACCCTCTCAAGACTGAACTAGGAAGAAGTTTAATCCCTGAATAGACCAATAACAAGTTCCGAAATTCAGGTAGTAATAAATAGCCTACCAATGGGGAAAAAAAAAAAGCCCAGAACCAGATGGATTTACAGCTGAATTCTACCAGAGATACAAAGAGGAGCTGGCACCATTTCTTCTGAAACTATTCCAAAGAATCGAAAAGGGGAACTCCTTTAAAGAGGTCAGCATCATCCTGATACCAAAACCTGGCAGAGATACAACAAAAAAGGAAAACTTTAGGCCAATATCCCTGATGAACATCAATGCAAGAATCCCCAATAAAATACTGGCAAACTGAATCCAGCAGCACGTCTAAAAGCTTATCCACCACAATCAAGTTGGCTTCATCCCCAGGACCCAAGACTGGTTTAACACACACAAATCAATATACGTAATTCATCACATACACAAAACTAAAGATAAAACCAGATGATTATCTCAATAGACACAGAAAAGACCTTCAATAAAATTCAACATCTCCTCATGTAAAAAACTCTTGATAACCTAGGTATTGAAGGAACATACTGCAAAATAATAAGAGTCATATATGACAGACCAACAGCAAATATCATAATGAATGGGCAAAAGTTGGAAACATTCCCCTTGAAAACCGGCAAAAGACAAGGATGCTGTCTCTCACCACTCTTATTCAACATAACATTGGAAGTTCTGGCCAGGACAATTAGTCAAGAGAAGGAAATAAAGCATATTCAAATAGGAAGAGAGGCGGTCAAATTGTCTTTGTTTGCAGATGACATGATCCTCTATCTAGAAAATCCATTGACTCAGGCCAAAAGCTTCTTAAGCAGATAAGCAAATTCAGCAAAGTCTCAGGAGACAAAATCAATGTGCAGAAATCACAAGCATTCCTTTATACCAACAAGAGACAAGCAGAGAGCCAAATCATGAATGAACTCCCATTCACAGTTGCCACAAAGAGAATAAAATACCTAGGAATACAGCTAACAAGGGAAGTGAAGGACCTCTTCAAGAACTACAAAACATTGCTCAAGGAAATCAGAGAGGACATAAGCAGGTGGAAAAACATTCTATGCTAAAAGATAGGAAGAATCAATATGAAAATGGCGATGCTGCCCAAAGCAATGTATAGATTCAATGCTATTCCCATTAAATTGTCATTGATACTCTTCACACAATTAGAAAAAAAAACCTATTTTAAAATTCATATGGAACTGAAAAAGAATACAATATAGCCAGGACAATCCTAAGCTAAAAGAACAAAGCTGGAGGCATCACACTACCTGACTTCAAACTATACTACAAGGCAACAGTGACCAAAACAGCATGGTACTGGTACAAAAACAGGCACATAGACCAGTGGAACAGAATAGAGAACTCACAAATAAAACCTCACATCTACAGCCATCTGATCTCCAACAAACCTGACAAAACAAGCAATGGGAAAAGGAATTTCTATTTAACAAATGGCACTGGGAAAACTGGCTAGCCATAAGCAGAAAATTGAAACTGTTCCCCTTCTTTACAACTTACACAAAAATTAACTCAAGATGGATTAAAAACTTAAATGTAAAACTCAAAACCATAAGAACCCTATAAGAAAACCTAGGCAATACCATTCAGGACACAGGCATGGGCAAAGATTTTATGAGGAAATCACCAAAAGCAATTGCAACAAGAGTAAAAATTGACCAATGTGATCTAATTAAACTAAAGAGCTTCTGCACAGCAAAAGAAACTGTCATTAGAGTGAACAGACAACCTACAGAATGGAATAAAATTTTTGCAATCTATCCATCTGGCAAAGGTCTAATACCCAGAGTCTACAAGGAACTTCAGCAAATTTACAAAAAATAAAACAAACAACCCCATTAAAAAGTGGGCAAAGGCCATGAACAGACACTTCTCAAAAGAAGACTTTTATATGGCCAACAAACATATGAAAAATAGCTCAACACCACTGATAATTAGAGAATTGCAAATTAAAACCACAATGAGATACCATCTCACACTAGTCAGAATGGTGATAATTAAAAAGTCAAGAATCAACAGATGCTGGTGAGGTTGTGGAAAAATAGGAATGCTTTTACACTGTTGGTGGAAATGTAAATTAATTCAACCATTGTAGAAGACATTATGGCAATTCTGCAAAGATTAAGAACCAGAAATAGCATTTGACCCAGAATCTCATTACTGGGTATATACACAAAGAAATATAAATCATTCCACTATAAAAATACATCGATGTGTATGCTCATTGGAGCACTGTTCACAATAGCAAAGACATGGATTCAATCCAAATGCCCATCAATGATAGACTTGATAAAGAAAACATGATACATATACACCATGGAATACCATGCAGCCATAAAAAGGAATGAGATTATGTCCTTTTCAAGGGACATGGATCAAGCTGGAAGCCATTATCCTCAGCAACTAACACAGGAACACAAAACCAAACACAGCATGTTCTCACTTATAAATGGAAGCTGAACAATGAGAACACATGAACACAGAAAGGGGAACAAGCAACAATGGGGCCTGTTGGGGGAGGGCAGGCTGCGGGCAGAGCATTAGGATAAAGAGCTAATACATGCTGGGCTTAATATCTAGGTGATGGGTAGATAGCCGCAGCAAACCACCATGTTACCTATGTAGCAAACCTACACATTCTGCACATATAGCCTGGAACATAAAAATAATAAAATTAAAATTTAATTTAATTAAGAAAAGAAAAAAATATAGTAAGTTCATATATTTTCATCCAGGTGCAAATTACAAAATTATCCTGCTCAAATGTATGTATTTATATATGTGTGTATGTGTGAATGTATAACAATATACTAAAAAAGTATTTTTATTAAAGTATTTAATACATAAACCTTAAAATTCTACCTTACAAGTTTAATGGAAAGAAAAGGATACAGCAGCTATTACTACTTCTAGCTATCTCATTAAAAATGAACTTAAAGAAGACAACTAAACACTAACAGAATAGTCTACACAAAATGCTGTGATTCGGTACAATATCCAAAATGTGTGTATTTCACCTTGCTTCAGATATCAGATTTTAGATCCTGTTTATTGTGAATTACAGTCATTGTATTTATACCCATATTTTACTTTCTTATACTTTCTAAAGCAGTCACTAACAAGTGTTTACTTTGTTACAAATGCCTAACTTCCCTGAGAGTCTCTTTTTTTCTCCTGTACTCAGTGCTAAAATAATTTGCCAGAAATATCTTTTTTTGTACTATCTTGCTCTCTAACTCTAGTGTTTTCCTATATTATACTATTTCGATCAAAACTCCTCAACCTCACATGACCTTCTTTAACTGATTTCCCTGTAGTTCTATAGTCTTGAACATTATTTCTGAAAACTGATGCAGTCAGAGGTCCAAGATGATATGCACAGAGTTTTTTAAGTTACTCATTGCCATCTCTTATCCCAGAATGTTTTAGTATACCTCTAATATTTGGTTCCATGTCTTTTCTCTGCCAATACATATTTCTGACAATTCATTCTATTAAATACTTCAACACCTAACTCAAAATCTCAAGCTTTCTGGAAATTCTTCCAATAGGTTTTACAATAATCCATTGTTTAGTTAACCATAAATAATCTCTCTTAATATTGATGTTTTACATCTTTTTGTAGGGGTTTGTAAAACTTTGCTTTATGTTAATATTGTTTCATAAACTCTTTTTTTTTTTCACTAAAAACCTGAAACTCCCTCGTACAGTTTGACTTGTGTTCCCCTCCAACTCCTATGCTGAAGTCCTCTCCCCCAGGGCTTCAGACTGTGACGTTTTTTGGAGACATCTTTCCAGCGGTGATCAAGTTAAAATGAGGCCATTAGGTTTGGCCGTATTAACTCATGTCAATCAATAGAGAGAAAATTTGGAAACAGACACTCACTCGGGGAGAATGCCATGTGGAGGTGAAGGCCACAATCCAAATGACGCTTCTGCAAGTCAAGGAATGTCTAAGGTGAACAGCAAACTACTAAAAGCCAAGAGGCACAGAGCAGATACTTTCAGAGCCTTCAGAAGAAACCCACCCTGCCAACAAGATGATCCTGAATGTCCAGACTTCAGAATTAAAAGACAGTACATTTCTATTGTTTAATGTACTGTCTTACAGTTCTTCAGGATTATGATAGCCCTGGCAAATTATTGCTTCTTCAAGAGGGAAAAAAAGGGTTTATTTCTATACTTGAAAATCATGCTGCTTACACAGGGAAGCAGTAGACATGCAAAATTAGTTTTTGACTCAAAAAGTATTGAAAGAGGATGAGCCTTAATCTTATTTAAATAAATACATAGAACAAAACGTGCTGATTTTAGATGTGTAAATAAAGTGAATAGAAGGAATAAAGTTGTTACTTCATTGAAGCAAAGTTCAAATAAGTGTATTGCCTTCTGTTTCTGTTTATAAAGCCTAATGAATTATCAGCACTATTTGCATTTTCACAATATTTGTAAGTTGAGTATATCTCCTTTTCTGGAATAGTTCATTTATTATCCTTTTTACATTGTAAATATTGATATAAACATCTTAATTTTATTCATGTAAATAGGCATGTCCATTTTGTTTTATATTTTGACCTCAAATGATATTCATTCTTTTATTCTTTGCATTTTTATAGCAGTATATTTGTAAGAACTGATACAATAAACAATGCTTAATTAAAATTTTATATTAATCAAAAGTTCATATCGATATTGTTACTTTAAAATGTCACAGATTTTTATATATAAACCAAAAGCTTTTGGGGTCCTAAGTATAGTTAAAATTTTTAAATGTTATTATACATATGACATACACTAATCATTTTAACTCCTAATTAACATTTTCATAAAGAAAAGTGTCTTGAATATATGAAGTACATTAGAGGTTAAGACTAATATTATGCCAATTGATTCATCTCTCCTTGTTTGCCAAAATTGCAGATCACACATTTGCAAATGGCACATTCAAATAAAGATAACAATTCAACAAAGCTTTGGTATTTGAACTACTTTTGAATTAGTTAATACTAGTTTTTACAAACTATGGTTATTCTTTAACACATATATGAACTTCAATACAAGTAAGTGCTTCTTTCATTTAAAAAGTATTATTTGATTAAATATAGCTTGATAATCAAAGATACTAATTTGAATGTCTTGATATTGCACAAAAAGAAGCATTAAAAATAATCAAATAATATATTTTTGAAATGAAATGAATATGTATATTTTCCTATATACCAATGTAGAGATACAAAACACAAGAACAGAATACAATTGTCTTTGTTCATCTTCATGAAGGCAATCAACTGTTTATGAGTAAAAAAAGGTCACTTTTTTGTCTGTCTCCTAAAATAATCCAAAGTTTTCTTCAAAATGGAAAATAAAATTTTTCCATCATTTATAGTGACTTTGATTGAAACAGATCTATCCTTTATTAAATTTGGAACTATGTAGCTCATATTTTTTCACCTATGCCATATCTTACAGGCTTTAAATTTTTGCACATTGTGCTTTTATTTTTCTTTGTTTACCAAAAATATATTAATGAAACCTGAACATCAAAATTATTTAGCACATCCTTGATTACTGACTTCTGAACTCTGTTAGTTTATTCTAAATACATGTATTTATTTATTTATTTATTTATTTATTTAGAGTCAGGGTCTTGCTCTGTTGCCCAGACCAGAGTGCAGCAGCACAATCATAGCTTGCTATAAATATATATTAACACTTTTGATATTTTTTGTTCTTAAGGCTCGCATTTTGCTGTGATTATAGCCTACCTTTGATCAATCAAGACTCCCTGATAATTATAGCACTTTTCTCACTTCATGTTTTTCACTTTGGATGCAAACATGAAAATATAGTGTTAAAAATCATGGATTCAGAAAGCAATCTTCAATAACAATCACTTGGTTATATTACTCTATCTCTACAAAGACATACTAGGGAGAAACCAATTCCTTATTCATTCACATTGTTGGCAGAATTAATTCCTTGTGGTTGTAGGACTGAAGTGCCGATTTGCTTGCTGACTGTCAGCTTAGGGTTGTTCCAGCTTTTAGAAGTCACTTTTATTCCTTGGCTCATAGCCACCTTGCTTGACCCTAAAACCTGGCAGATCAGATCGAGACCCTTTCAAATTTTAAATTCCCCATTTTTCCCTCTGTTGCCCAATCTCTGGTTGACTGTTCTTCCTTCCTCTTTCACTTTTAAGGACCCATGTAATTACATTTAGCCCACCAGTATAATTCAAAATAATCTTCCAGCTTTAACATCCATAACTTTATTTCCACCTGTGAAGTCCCTTTTGCCAAGTAACATAATCTATACCAGGAATCACACCTTAAGTGTGGAAATTAGATTTTTTTGTGTGGGAGGGTATTGCTCTGCCTATCGCAGAAAGCCCTTTTATGAGGAATCTTCCCAGTGTGCCATATAACTCAGGCTTCTCCCTCCCGGCTGCTGGGATCATAAACTGTTTTCAGCTCTCAAAAGTGTTTTACCTAATGAATTCTGATGATTCTTTTTCCACCTTTCAGTAGCTTCCTCTCACTCACATGCAGTAGAGAATCCAGATGAGAGTTCACAGCACCAAAGTGAATATATCTGGAGATTTCTGTGCTGCATCTCCTTCCAGTAGTTCATCCTGTAAATTTTAATCACCTTTACCTCTCTGAATTCTAATCTATGTTTCCTAATTCAACCAGAAGGCTGGGCTGTATTTCACTTTCTACTTGCTACACTGCATCCGAGGAAATATCTCACCTCATCTCTTTCCATTTCTTCAGAGACCACAGTCTTATGCTGTTTATTGTCCAGTGTCTAAAACCAATGTTTCATATATTTAGCTTAGTTTTATAATTTTTTAAAATAGCTTGCATATAATTCTTATAAAAGTGAATCTTTATGAGCACAACCTGAAACCATTCAGTATATGTTCAGGGGACTTTCTTACAGCAGTTTACATACTACATATCCTATAATATAATAACCAATTGATCAGTTGGAGAATGTGCTTTTTGTTAACGTGAATTTTTTATCGATTATAAAATCTAGTTTATTGAGTAGTAGTTTGGGACTGGGGGAAAATAATACTCTAGCAAAAATATCTCCCAGTTTGAATGGTGTTCTTCTGTATTTTTATAAGAATAGGTGATAAGAATGTCAATGCTCAGGATGTCAAAGATCTGCAATACCAGTGAGAAAAAATAAAAAGCCATTACTGTTTGAAGTAAAGGCAATGTTTGCTCAAATAATGGATTTGCACAGTATTTTGACAAGAATAAACTTCCCTCATGCTTCTGGTGCTGTAGGCCTGAACGGTGCCTGGGAGTCAGTACTGTGCTTCTGAACTACTTCTTATGAACAGGAAGGAAATGGTTATAATGGTGGTTTAAGCAGGAGCTTGCTAAAAGTCAGTTAGCCTATGGCACTACAAATTATTATAATAGGCAACGATTTTCAGAAAAGGCTTTCAACTTAGAGAAAATAGACAGCACAGAACATCCACTGGTCACAAAAGCTTGGATTGTTCTAACTTCATAGTTCAGAAAACCCAAGGAGGAGGCTCTAGCTTCATTCTGCATGAAATGAGTATTATATTTTTGATTGTTAGAGATCTAGAAGATATTGAAAAGGGATATGAAAATGGGAATGTTTTCCTCTCTTGTCCCACCACATAAAAACAGCCCATTGGAGCCTTGGATGGTCTAAATGGTCTAAATCTGGAAGTAACCTCCACTGAATTAGCTAGGGCTGCCTACCTCACTAATCTAACAGTCATATTCTATGTGGGAGGGTGGACTTGTGTCCTGCCTATGGTGTCTGCCTTACCACTAGTCTGTGTCAGAACCTGTTGGGCAACAGGCTCCAGCCCATTGCAGGGACTTCTCTTTTTCTCACATAATCTTATCATAAACCATTAGAGGGCTGATAACTTGTAAATAGAGTTTTGCTCACTGGTGTCTAATTTTTTCATGCACATATTTCCTGTTTATCTTCTATCCTAGAAAACTTGGGAATAAGGTAATGAGAAGCGAAATAGTATATGTTTCCAAAAATATATGCATTTATATTGAGTTGCAACAAAATGTTTGTGATTACAATAAAATAATGATCATCACACAGAGGTACATCTTGTAAATAATTATTAATTATTATAACAATGCTAACATGTCTTTAAAAAACTGATTTTTTATTGTGGAAAGTAATGAGATCTATTACTTAATGTTTACACATATATTAAAAATACATTGTACTATCTAAACTGATTGTACTTTGACAGCTTTAAAAATATATGACAAAACATGGTCCTATTAATTAATTTTTTTAAAAGCCTAGAAATAAAAGGTGAGGGCAATAGAAGACTCACAGCTGCAACTTTAAGCGCTAAGCTCTTAGGGTTGAAAATACCTTATATCTGTAAGTCATAAAAAACTCAAAGTCTTACTATTCAAACACTGAACAGCTACAATTTAACTGGCACAAAGATCATCTGGCAAAATAAAACCATTGTCAAATACTGCTTAGTGTATACAAAAAAAACTAGAGGAAAAAAGTTATAAAGAATAAAAATGAAAATATTTGTATAAAATTTCTATCTTTGGGAAATGTACTTTGTCGTCCTCTGTGTTATCAAAACCTGGCTGCATTTGCCTGTAGCAATTGGAAGTTGTGTGGGCTTCATAATCCCACACAGGTGAGGATTATGAAGTCATATTTAGCACAAATCAATTTTAAATTTATAGGTATTTCCCAACAGAGCGTAGAATTAATCTTCTCTTTGTATTTTAGAGAGTTAAATTTGCAGCCCATTCTATTTTTTGATAGGAAATACACCTTCAATTTTGACCCATAAGCTCAGAATTATGAGTTTACTTGCCAATAGAAAGAGGGAAGTGCAGAGACACCGAAGAGACAAATGTCCCATTCTCCAAAAATGCAGAACACATCACTATGAATGTAAGAAATGGGCAGAAAGTCAAAATCCACAATTCACAAAACAGAATGATCTAAAATGAGAAAGGGGGATGCAGACGTGGGCAGGGTGTAAGAATTGCTTTCAAAACTACTCCTAATTAAATTGATCAAAGCTGGTTTTCTAAAGCATTTCTCATGAGGATATGCTGGATGCTTCAAAAATAAATGGTGATTTCATCTATTTATCTTATGATTCTTCACAATAGAATCCACTGCATAACCCAATATGTCCACATTAACATTTTAATTATGTAATTGTGATTGTATTTGCTATGAGCATGCATGTCAGAATGAAGGAATAACAAGCTGCTCAGTAGCTTGACCTATTGGTCTGGTCTGGCTTTGTGGCTGAAAGGCTATGTGGCTCTGATAGCATCTCATGCAGAATAATGACAAAATAGTCGCCAGGGCATGCAACTACAACCTGTAGGGAGTTAATCATGACCATTAATCTCCACCAGATTCTTCTATTATTTGAGGACTAGGGCATTGACAGAAAGATATTTCATTTCATTTACTTAATATAAATGAATCTTAAGTCAGCTTCTCATCTTCTTGATGGCCTTGGAAAAGAAAAATATTGCATGTTAGCTAATTTGAAGGTGTATATTGTGTGAATTTGATAATCACTTCTATTGTGGAATACTGGAATTTTGAATTGAGGTGGCCTCATTTTCAGATACACTGGATATACATCCACATAGCCAACTGTTTTTTTTTTGTTTTTTTTTTTTTTTGTCGCCCAGGCTGGAGTGCAGTGTCACGATCTCAGCTCACTGCAACATCTGCCTCCTGGGTTCAAGCAATTCTCTTGCGTCATACTCCCAAGTAGCTGGGATTACAGGCACCTGCCACCACGTTCTGCTAATTTTTGTATTTTTAGTAGAGACAGAGTTTCACCATGTTGGCCACGCTGGTCTCCAACTTCTGACCTCAAGTAATCCAGCCGCTTCAGCCTCCGAAAAAGTGCTGGTATTACAGGTGTGAGCCACCGCACTGGGTGGCAACTTCTTATAATCAGTGTCCTATGTCACAGGGATAGGAAAGAAAATTCATGGGAAATAAACTTTCTTCTTGCCCATTCCCATTTGAAACAAATCATCGTCTGTGAGAAACTGAAGAGAAAATATTTTCCTTTATTTTGAACCTGTATAGCTTCCATTCTAGTAATATTTCAGCCTCAAGATTACTGGTTATACTTATGCAGAATTCATGTTAGCTTTCAGTAGTTAAAATGCCATTGACAATGTTTCTGGTAGACTTACAAAAAAAGAGCTTTATATGATGAAACTAGAAATCAGAAGACCGTACGCAATATATTTTCCATAGTGAAACAACAAGAAATGGGTTGTTATATTTGGAGGTAATGGAAGTTGATGGTTAGGGCTTTTTGAACATTTGAGAAAGAGGTAGAAGTACATTTTTTTAAAAAGTCTAGAAAAGAGAGTGAGTCTGTTGGTATCTAAATTAAATATTTATTTTAGGTAAGATAGTTTTAAAAAACTGGGTAATGCATATTTTACCCCACTCCATCTCCACCACCACTACACACACACACACACACACACAAACACACACACACACACACACACACCCTCCCTAGAAAAGAATAAACACAACCATGAAGTAATTTACTATGGAAGGAAGACCAAGTTGAGTTTGAAAATCTCTGTATTGGAGATTTAACTCATACGTGACTTCAGAGAAGTTATTTAACTTATTTAAGCCTTAGTTTACTAAACTCAAATTTGGAAGCACTGAACTATTTTAATGTCTAAACTGTCCAAATATGTATTTTTTTATTAAACCTAATAAACTGCCTAAAAGTTTTATGTCTAACTTTTAGTGTCTGAATTAGTTTATGCTAATACCTACATAGTGTAAAAATTTACCAAAAGCTTTGTTGTCTCAATTGTTTTGACTATATTATGTGGTGGACTTCTTAGAGAGGCTACAAATGCCTCAATGTTTCTGTTCCAAGAAAGTAGAGAGACTTGTGTCTTCTAGCAATACAGACATTTAAGCCTCATTGTACTTACCCTATAGTTTTGCCTAATTAAAAATAGTAATATCGAACAGACTTATTAAATTCCAGATAGTACTAAATTTCAAAAGAAATTTAGTTTTACAAGACAGAAATGAATTGCAGAAAAATCTTGAAGAACTTGGAAATCATAACCATATGTCAACATGAACTGAAAAAGAACTATTGTGATAATTATAACAATGAAAACAATAATGATAGCTACATATGATGCACCAGTCACAGTTTTAAGACATATATATGTATGTCTATATATGATGTAATAAAACTCTGTGATAGCCAAACATGTTTGATACTTTTGTCCAAATACAGTGATACCATTTTGAAGTGATATAATGTTTTTGAGTGACTATAAAGAATGGGTAGAAACACCTGAAAGTGGGTTACAGTTAAGCTGAATCTGACATATTGGTAGCACATCCAGATGCTGTCATCAGAGAAGCACATCTAGATGTTGTCATTGGAAATACAGCATCAGATGTCAACTACGAATATTTAGGATCACCAGTAAGAATCAACTCCAGGATTGCCTCTGGCAGAAACTAGATTATCAAATCATTTGGCAAAACTTTAGGGCTACATTCCATCTGAGGATAATTCCCATATTAGGGCTGAAGACCTTTGTCAAATGCATACCAATGAAAGCAGTTGCTGGAGAATATGCCACTTGACCGTCTGAGTATATTGCCCACTAGAGCCTCCTTAGGGAAACTTGTCAATCAGTGAAGACATTAGTGATGACTGAGGAAGTTCTATTCTCACACTCTTGATTTCACATTATGGCCATTCGGAGTAGGGCTACGTGCTATTTGGTCATTGTCACATTTCAATCTATCGGATTAAATATCATCCTCCTGAAAGAAGTGCAAAAGCAGGAATGAACATCTATTTGAGGTCAGAATAAAGTAGAAAATTTATAAAATTTATGGGGAAGATTTCAACAGTAGTATGAAAGTAATAAAATTATTGTGGCTGTGAGTTTCATTTGGGACTAAAGAGCTTTTTGTCTTCCTCTTAAAAATGTCTCTGCCTACTTAGAAAGCTTTTTTGTTTGTTTCAGACACAGTCTACAATAATTTTACACTAAATGCCTTAGACATTAAACTATGTTATTAAAACTATGGAAGATCTGTTAGTAAAACAGATTATTGGATAAAATAAGAATGGCATAATGACAAGATAAATGGTAGTCTTTAAATAAATGTATTTATAGTTTTACCTTTTATACAATGAAGTTGAGGAAACTTACAAAAATACACACAAAATTACTTTTAAAATAATTAAAACCCTAGATAAAATATTAAAAATAAACTTAGAATGAAGCAAATTAGGATGGATATAACCCACACAGGTGCTGTAATATGGTTCTACTTGGAAGGGAGGTATTTAATCAGGATAAAAATGAAACTATTATTTGTCTTTTCAATATTCTGAAAAATATGTCTCTCTAAATAAAATAAGTAATATGCAATAAATGAATCAAAAAATTTAAGCAGCACCTCCTTGGAGTAACTTTTAAAAGGAAATAAGCATTATAAAGAAATCAGCAGAGTGTTGCTATACTTCACCATATAGAAGAATCAGAATCATGTGAGAGGTAATTGTGTGGAGTGATGAAGTACAGAGTCAATATAGTTTCAACTCCTAGGTTAAACATTCATTAGCTTTACATCCCTGACGAGGTTATTGAATATCTCAAAGTTCAGGTTTTTGTTGTTGTTTTTTGTTTTTTGAGACGGAGTCTCGCTCTGTCACCCAGGCCGGAGTGTAGAGGTGCAATCTCGGCTCACTGCAACCTCAGCCTCCCAGGTTCAAGGGATTCTCCTGCCTCAGCCTCCTGAGTAGCTGGGACTACAGGCATGCACCACCACGCCTAGCTAATTTTTGTATTTTTAATAGAGACAGTGTTTCACCATGTTCACCATCAGAGTTCAGTTTTTCCATAGTATCTACAGCACTGGTGGTGCTAAAGAATTTAGCAAATGCTAAGTAAATAGTAAGTGTTAAATAACATCAATTATTATTATTATCATCAGCAGAAAGAGGAGAAGGGATAAACAGTAATTGCTAAACAAATAGTAATTACTATTATTATAATTATTATTATTAGATGAGAGGAAGAAATTGGGGCAGTAATTATAAAACATCCCCATCATGGTCTTGTGGTAAGGGTTTCTATTAGCATTATAGTATATAAATACATAGCAATGTGTGTGTGTATACACATACACATATGTATACACACACATACAATGCTATATTGTGTGTATATATATTGTGCGTATGCATATATATGCTATATATGCATATGGATATATATACATATATATACACACATGCTAAAAAGAATTATAGTTGCATTTCTATACAAATTTTTAATGCAACTAGATTTCAACTTTATATATGTGGTAGGATAAAAAGACAACTTTATTATTTTCCATACGAAAGACATTTTTCTCCACATCATTTTACAATATAATGTATTCTGTCTTCATTGATTTATGACACCTCCAATATTATATTCTAACTCCATATTTACATGGCTGTGGTTCAGAGTCTTTTATTTGTCCATGGATTTATTTATACATTATTGTACTAATTCTCCAATATTTTTATTAGTGTAAACTTGTAGTGTATTTTAATATCTAGTAAGACAATCTACAGTTTTTATTGTTTTATTTTAAACAAACTTCACATTCCAATAAAACATTTGTAGCATGGAAACTCTTTTGGTAAATAGTTAATTTCTCAAGGATAAATTAACTTTTTGTTTGGCGTTTCATGGCTAAATAAGGCATGAAAATCAAGATTGTTTTGCTGGCAAACTTTTTAAAATTGTTTTAATAAATGGCTTAACCTCTTTTGATAATTTAAAATAATTGCAAAAAATATGGTACAATTTATTGTGGGAATAACAATTTACATATCAAGTTGATAAATAGATGGTTAAACCTGCATCAAAACCAAGTTACACTGCTATTTAATAATTATATTTCAGAGTAACAGGTAAAATAGTTAAATGATTAAAAACTTATATTTCATCTTATTGTTAGAAGTTCAAATTTTATATATTTTTCTATTTTTTCTCATAATTATAACAGCAGTTTCTCAATTCTATGTCATTGTTTTTGTTTCATATTAGTTATATGACAATATTTATATTGATGAAAACACATTTTGTGCTAAGCTGTAAGTTATTTTAGCATACATACTTTAGTGTTTTCTTTATTTTGCCACTCCTTCTCTGCTGTCATGGATTTAAAGCTGCTGATTTGGAATATTTTTATGCCTTTAGCATGGTATATTTCTGAGATTGGCCAGAATAGAAAGATTTTATATTGCTTTTAAATAGAATAGAAGTTGTATAAAGCTGCCTGGAGATGTAGGATTAATATTTTACCCTCACCACAATTCCTATTTCATATGACTTTCTCTTTGTCACTACTAAATATGTGCAAAGATGTATTTAAAATAAAATACCTTCCACAAACTTTACTCTCTGATTACTTTGATCTTTCTACTCTTAAAAATTAAATAACTAAATTCAGCTCATTGCGTATAGGTCAGTACAATTGTACACTTAAATATTTGCCATGATTCTATGTATATTCTGGCTAAACAAATACAAAAAGTAGAAGGTAGAAACTGATTGTATCAGAATTTTTCTGAGGAAACTATTTTTGAAATGTGAAAGGCAAATGTAATTTTATTTCACTATTTTCTGTAAATCTTCAAGGAATATAGAACACATATTTATTTTCTTTCAATTGTCTATGTAATGAGTTGTTGAATTTTCCAGCAAATATCCATTAATACTTGATTCTGAATGATCAAGATTAACTGTGTGCAAAACTTTTCAGTACATAGGTGATTAGGTTTATTGCTGAATCTGTTTCCCTCTTTGTCCTGCCAGATTTGATTGTGGCCAAACATATTACAAACACAGAAATTTACAAAATTTCGAGAGACATTACAAATTGGAGAAATATTCACAAGCATACCTCACAGATGGGGAAGATTGCATGCATGTGGGTTAATAGAGGAAGATAGAATTCAAATGCAAATCAAGCCATGAGTTTAAAAAAAGCACACATAAACACATATATATGTGTACATATGTGTATGTATAATATATAAAGAATGTACACACATATGTGTATATATATATCATATTAATCTGTTCTCACACTGCTATAAAGATACTACCTGAGACTAAGTAATTTATAAAGAAAGGATAGTTAATTGACTCATAGTTCCATATGGCTGGAGAGGCATCAGGAAACTAACAATCATATTGGAAGGCAAAGGGGAAGCAAGGCACATCTTACATGGCAGAGGAGAGAGAGAGAGCGAGAGAGGGAAAGTGCCACACTTTTAAAACCATTAGCTCTCATTAGAATTCACTCACTATCACCAGAACAGCATGGGGGAAACCACTCCCATAATCCAATCACCTCCCACCAGGTCCCACCCTCAACGTGTGAGGATTACAACCCAAGATGAGATTTGGGTGGGGACACAGAGGCAAACCATATCATTATCCTCTTTGCCCCTCCCAAATATCATGCCCTTTTCACATTTTGAAGCCAATCATGCCTTCCCAACAGTCACCCAAAGACTTAATTCATTCCAGCATTAACTCAAAAGTTCAAGTCCAAAGTTTCATCTGAGTCAAGGCAAGTTCCTTCTGCACATGAGCCTGTTAAGTAAAAAGCAAGTCAATTACTTCCAAGATACAATGGTGGTAAAGGCATTGGATAAATGCTCCTGTTCCAAATGAAAGAAATTGGCCAGAGCAAAGGGGCTACAGAACCCATGCAAGTATGAAACCTGGCCAGACAGTCATTAAATCTTAAAGTTCAAAATATTACCCTTTGATTCCATGTCTCACATCCAGGAAATGCTGGTGCAAGGGGTGGGCTCCCAAGGCCTTTGGCAACTGTGCCTCTGTGGCTAGTCAGGGTACAGCCTCTGCTGCTGCTTTCAGGAGCTGGCATTGGGTACTTGTGGATTTCTAGGTTCATGGTGCAAGTTGTCATTGGATATACATTTCTGGGGTCTGGAGAATGGTGGGCCTCTTCTCACAGTTCCACTAGGCAATGCCCCAGTGGGCACTCTGTGTGGGTGCTCCAAACCCACATTTTCCCTCTGCATTGCCCTAGCAGAGGTTCTCCATGAGGGCTCCACCCCTGCAGAGGACTTCTGCCTAGACACCCAGGCATTTCCTCACATCATCTGAAATCTAGGCTAAGGTTCCCAAAGCTCAACTCATGTCTCTGCACACCTACAAGCCCAACAGCAAATGGAAGCTGCCAAGGTTGGGTCTGAAGCCATAGACCAAGATATACGTTGGCACCCTTTAGCCACTGCTGGAGCTAGAGCAGCTGGGATGCAGTGCACTAAGTCCCAAGGCTGCACAGAGCAGCAGGATTCTGGGCCTGGCCCATAAAACCATTTTTCCCTCCTAGACCTCCAGGACTGTGATGAGAGGGGCTACTGCCAAGATCTCTGATATGCCCTGGAGACATTCCCCATTGTCTTGGCTATTAACATTCAGCTCTCATTACTTAAGCAAATTTCTGGGGCTGGCGTGAATAATTCCACAGAAAATGGGTTTTTCCTTTCTACCCCATGATCAGGCTGCAAATTTTCCAAACCTTTATGCTCTGCTTCCCTTTTAAATGTAAGTTACAATTTCAAACCATCTCTTTGTGAATGCATGTAACTGAACATTTTCAGAATCAGCCAGGTCATATCTTGAATGCTTTGCTGCTTAGAAATTTCTTCCACTAGATACACTACATCATCTCTCTTAAGTTCAAAGTTCCACAGATCTCTAGGGTGGGGGCAAAATGCTGCCAGTCTCTTTGCATAGCATGAATGACCTTTACTCTGGTTCCCAATAAGGTCCTAATCTCCATCTGAGACCACCTCAGCCTGGACTTCCTTTTCCATGTCACTATAAGTATTTTGGCCAAAACCATTCAATAAGTCTCTAGGAAGTTCCAAACTTTTCCTCAACTTCCTGTCTTCTTCTGAGCCTTCCAAACTTTCAACTCTGCCTGTTACCCAGTTCCAAACTCATTTCCACATTTTCAGGTTATCTTTATAGCAGGACCCCACTCTGCCAGTACCAATTCTCTATATTAGTCTGCTTTCACACTACTATAAAAAAAAACTACTTGAGACTGGTTAATTTATAAAGAAAGGAGGTTTAACTGACTCAAAGTTTTGCATGGATGGGAGGCCTCAGGAAATTTACAATCGTGGTGGAAGGTGAAGGGAAGTAAAGCACATCTTATGTGGCAGCAAGAGAGAGTGAGAGAAGGAAAGTGCCACACTGTTGAATCCATCGGTTCTCGCGATAACTCACTCACTATCACAATAATAACATGGGAGAAACCACTCCCAGGATCCAATTACATCCCATCACATCCCTCCCTGGATATGTGGGGATTACAATTCAAGATGAGATTTGGGTAGGGACACAGAGTCAAACCATATCACATACATACATAGACACACACACACACACACATATGTGCATATATACACACAGTACAAGATAGAGATTTGCCACAGGCCTTTCAACCAAGCATACTGAAAAAACAATTTATTTGTTTTAAACTTTCTCTCTTCTTGCAAATACAATATTTTGCTATTATTGGGAAACAGAAATTGATAAACCACTAGAAGTCAAGTGATAGTCCTTGATGGCTAGGTGTTATGACATTATTTGCTTGTGTTTGATGGAAGATGGAGTTTCTGGTATTCCTACACACGCTGTCTATCAAAACACAGAGATGGCGCTAGTGAAAAATCAGAAAACTAAAACAAGAAACAAATTTACCAAAGGTGAAAAAAATCACCACGCTTTAAAACTGCATTTATTTAAGGAACATAAATTTAAATTTACCGATTCAATTTATGTTAGAAAGTGAGATTTAAAATAACTGCTAAAGGGAAAACAGTGATATATAAAGTGACAAGCAATATAGGCTAGAATGTTGAAAATAAAACTAAAACCCAAGATACTAAAAGAATCAAACTGGCCAGGCATGGTGCTCATGCCTGGAATCCCAGCACTTTGGGAGGCCGAGTTGGGCGGATCATTAGGTCAGGAATTCAAGACCAGCCTGGCCAATATTGTGAAACCCCGTCTCTACTAAAAATACAAAAACTAGCTGGGCATGGTGGCAGGTCCCTGTACTCCCAGCTACTCAGGAGGCTGAGGCAGGAGAATCATTTGAACCCAGGAGGCAGAGGTTGCAATGAGTCGAGATCGCACCATTGCACTCCAGTCTGGGTGACAGGGCAAGACTCTGTCAGAAAAAAAAAAAAAGAATCAAACTATATGTAAAAAGTTTCACTGTCAACTATGAAACTGGTTTAAATTTTGATAGCATTCTTAGGCTAATATTAGGACATCCTAGTCAACATGTTTGGCTTAAATAATGAGAAGACAATTTGGACAAACTTTCCAGGTAAAATATGATAATGCCTGCTACAAAGATTCACTAAACTTATTCCTAGATGAGTAGGAAGACTGAAGCAGAGTCAGTAAGATTTCAGTGTGTAACTTCATGTTTAGTTTACTTAGTTGATTAACATTTTTTGTCATAGAATCCCAGATACTTTTATTAGTACCTATATTCAATTTCATCTCTTTACAGATATAAAATATAAAATAAGAAAAAAGCTCTCAGTTTGAATATAGGTATTAAATCTTATATATATTTGAATATGTTGATACTGCAAAATAGATTTGTATTCAGTAAGTAGAAAATATATAATACTGATTTAATGCATGCTTTAAGACTAAAAAAAAACAAAATATGTTCATACTATATAGGGCCATTAGTTTTTCCTTTTAAATTAGGTCACCAACTAATGATCTATATTACTATATTAACTACTATTTCTGATAATAGCCAGCTTAATGTGAAAGATAGTTATATTAAAATATTTTATAATATAAATATTAATAAATTATTTTAAAGACAGGTATATTGGACATGTCAAAAATAAAAGGTCATCTATGTAGTCATTACTCATCTTTCCAAAGTAATTTTATTTATTCAAGATAAGTCTGCCAGTTGCAATACCGACATTTTATTGTATGTGTATATGTGTTCATAAAATATGTCCCTGGATACTTATTCAGGAAGTAAATGCCTGTATGGATTGTCAGGTAATAGAGAACATGTTTGTGTGTGTGTGTGTGTGTGTGTGTGTATACACACACACAAATGTATTATGTTTAATTTTTTTAAGGCACAACAATCAACTTTCATGACAGTAAGGTAAATTGGTTTATCTGTTTATTTTAACAATGCTCATCTCACAGAAGTTGTTCTTTCCACATTTGCCATAAAGAGCATAACTGATGTTTGTACAGTGAATCTAGAATCAAAGGGAAAAAACAAGTAATAATCTCTATTTATGACTGAAGAATGCTGAAGTGGGTTCAACAAATCTGCCTTCTACATAACTACTGCTAAACTTTACTTGTCAGTTGAAATTGTGATGTAGTCATTGTTCTGTCCAATCCTTATTTTTGCTCCACTGTGCCTGGACCTGGGCAAGGTACACACAGGTAGCTATGGGTGATGAAGTCTAATGTCTTGATCTGGAAAATCTTAAGTGTACTGGTGAAAGAGAGAAGTTGGCAAATACAATGTGTTCGATTCACAGTGGTGTAGGATTGAATATGATGGAACATATAGGGTGATAATCCATTCACATTTGGAGAGTTTAGGCAAAACTTAGTAAAGGAATAGAATCTATCCTTAGACATAGTGGTCAAATATAAAGAAAAAATGTCTCATGCTGCCTGTGATAATGGTGGCAATTTAAAGAAAAAGTAACACCAGGCAAAAGAAACAGTTTATGTAAAATACTTAGAGTGATTCTCAAATATAGATTCATAACTTGCTCTAAATTTTTGCAACAGTTTATGTAGGTTCACTTTGAAATACAACAATGAAAGTATTTCATAAACTTTTATATGTGGTTTTATAAATGTTTGTGCTTGCATAACATTTTTAGTTTTAAATTTTATTCTTTCATATTGACACATTCTATATATACAAACACTTCTTAATAGGTAAAATACAGTTTGCAAGATCAGGTGTCTGTGTGTCTTCTAATTTTTGTTTATTTTCCAGGTAATTGAATCAAAATATCTATCAGCTATTGCTCTAGAAGAACTGCAAAGACTTCAATATCTGTGGAACACCAAGAGATACTCTTAGATTTACTACAGTAGGTTATAGAGGAAAGCACGGCCGAAATAACAGAGAATATTATATTTAAAATTAAGGAGTTTGGATGTTATCTTGAGCCCATAGGGAAACATTACAGAAGACATTTTTTAAGCAAGAAAGTGAGAAGATTAACTCTGTTCTTTGAAGTATTATTTCACTACTGAGTAAAGAAGGAAGGGTCACGAGGCAAGATTCAATTAGACATGAAATGTACTGAAATAAACCGCTATAGTAATTCAGGAGACAGCTGAGGTTGTTTTAATTCAAGGCAGTAGAGTGGGGATAGAGAGCTCTAGAAGTCTAGTAGGATCCATGGGGACATATAAAAATGTGCATATTTATTCCACTCTAGCATATTCACCACGTGATAAACTTCTTTTCAAAGAAAAGTAGTTTATAAAAAATTGTTTCAACATATGCAAGAGATGAAGTAAAAATATCAGTGACCTTTTTGAGTGGATCTTTAATATTGAAATTTTCTAATGTATCTAAAATATTTGAAATGCACAGACTGTATTTCTATTTAAAGTGCATATTTAGAATCTATTGACTAGCTCATATATTTGGAAAACAAAAACTCTCTCATATAAGACAATGTGTTCAATTTTGAGATTTATCCTACCTGTCACGTTTAAAGATTGAACTACATACTACTGAGTTTAAAAGGATCTGGCTATTGTTAATGTGTATTCAAAAGGTAATGGTAAACTGTTATGCTATTGCAACAATAATAAAACCAATACTGGGTGTATTTTAGAAATTGTTAATGCATGCTAATATTATAATGAAAAAATAACTTAATGAACAAGAGTCCTATCAGGTATGAAGAAACAATTTAGAAATAGAGTTGTGACTATAAAGCCAGTTTACACCTTGGAGAGCGATCTATAGAATTTTAGTAATACAAGGACCTAAAGGTTAAAAATAATAAACGAAAGTTAAAGATTTTTTAAAGTAATAATATAGCCAATAGAACTTTTCTTCTCTAAATCTGGATTTTCAATTTAATTCAATCAATACTTCTTGTAACATTAATGTTGTCCATCAAAGAAACATCTAGGGAGCACAAGCATGCCACATACTCAGAGACTGAAGTTTTAGCCAAAGAATATGTCATCATAAATACTCCTAGTTAGAGCCCTAATAAGAAACATAAGGATAATTTGGTTTAGGTTTAATAAATGTAGAGCTCTTTAGCCACTTAGAGCCCACCTGCTTTGCATGCTGTTTTAGTCCATTTAGTGTTGCTATGAAGAAATTCCTAGGCTGGGTAATTTATTTAAAAAAGAGGTTTATTTTGGCTCGTGGTTCTGAAGGACATACAAGCCTGGTGCCAGCATCTGCTTCTGATGAAAGCCTCAGGAAGCTTCCAATCATGGCAGAAGTCAAAGCAGGAGCTGGTGTATCACATGGCAAGGGAGGGAGCTAGAGAAAGAGGAGGTGGGAGCAGTTGCCAATTTCCTTTTAAACAGCCAGCTCTCCCATGAACTAATAATAGAATGAGAATAACAGAATGAGAACTCATCAGCAAGACCCAAAGTTTCTGGCAATTCATTACAACAGAAATTCAAACTAATAGATGTCTCAATAAAAACGTGCTAAAATAATAAATAGATGAACGAAGGAAACATCAGGAGTAAATGTAAATCTCTTTCTGATATGAAACCAGCTATGAGATAAATATTATCTAAAATGTTATTTTTAATAGGATCCTGTTTTTTTCTCCTTATCCTTTAAAGATAAATCTTTAATTTTCCTTCATGTAAGATATGTGGGTTAGAAGGACGCTTGCTCACAGGTGATCTTTGGTGTTTAATCAGCTCCTGACTTTTACAGTGGTGTCAAATTCCACTGACCACGTTTTTACTTCTTCAAAGGGGACATCTGAAGTGTCTTGCTTCCCAACACCTTCTAGTCTTACCAGGAAAAAGACTAGTCTAATTGTTGCAAGTTAAGGTTGTGACTTCCCTTCCACATTTTATGACACACACCCACTTGCTGTTAATAGAAACAGAGAAAGAGACACTTTCCTGGCTTGGTACACCTACAGCTGATCTCTACAGCTGATCTCTGTTAATCAATTGGAGTTGAGTAACAACTCAACTCTACAGCTGATCTCTGTTATTCAACTGGAGTCCCTCTGAGTTGGTTATTACATTATAAGACTAGTTATTATTTCTTTCTCAGAATCCTACTCCTTGTACACATACAACTATATTTTAAGTCACCAAAGATGAGAATTTAAGAAATCATAAATTTCTACTTGTTTTCACTTACTAATTTGGTCAGTGTTTTTTTTAAGGGCAAAAAATGTGTAGGTCTGTAAGTCAGTGGAGTTAAATGAGAGTTCTTAAAATATTCTTCTTAGTTAATTCTTCTTCTTAGTTAATCTATATCTCTTTAATCTGAGCTTATAACTTCTTTTTTAAAGTATTTGAAACCCTGACAATATTTGAGATGATCAATAATTTGTTATTTTTTCAGTATTTATGAGACTTAAATATAAAATTATAGTTGGAGAAGAAAGAAGTAAACAAATTGAGTTTGAGTGTTCAAATATTCAAGAAACATCATACAATAGCAATAGCAGGTATGTTTGCCAAAGATTTGCTAGCAAAATGTGAAAAATATATACAAATACACAGACCTCAGAAATGTGTGCAGAATTTTTGGTTTCATTAAAAAAAAAAAGCATTCAGGTGGGCGCATTGGCTCATGCCTATAATAACAGCACTTCAGGAGACCGACATGGGCAGATCACTTGGGGTCAGGGGTTCAAGACCAGCATGGCCAACATGGTAAAACCTCGTCTCTACTAAAAATACAAAAATTAGCTGGGCGTGGTCGTGGGCGCCTGTTATCCCAGCTACTTGAGAGGCTGAGGCAGGAGAATCACTTGAACCCGTGAGGTGGAGTTTGCTGTGAGCAGAGACCATGCCACTGTACTCCAGTCTGGGTGAGAGAGTAAGACTCAGTTTCAAACAAACAAACAAAACCAAAAACAAACTCAATTTGTTTACTTCTTTCTTCTCTAATTTTATATTTTAGTCTCATACATACTGAAAAAATAAATTATTGATCATCTCAAATATTGTCAGGGTTTCAAATACTTCAAAAAAGTTATAAACTCAGATTAAATAGATACAGAATAAGAAAAATGTCTTTCAGTAAGATAACTATCTTATATTTTTACATAAAAACTTAGTCTACGTGAAATTTCATTTTCTCAAAAAGGAGTTTTCACCTTAATAATGTCTTAAGATTTTTTTTTTTTCAAACAGAGTCTTGCTCTGTTGCCCAGGCTGGAGTGCAGTGGCGTGTGATCTCGGCTCACCGCAACCTCTGCCTCGCGGTTCAAGCAATTCTCCTGTCTCAGCCTCCTGAGTAGCCGAGACTACAGGCGTGCTCCATCATGCACGGCTAATTTTTGTATTTTTAGTAGAGACAGGGTTTCACCATGTTGGCCAGGCTGGTCTTGAACTCCTGACCTCGTGATACGCCCGCCTGGGCCTCCCAAAGTGCTGGGATTACAGGAGTGAGCCACCATGCCTGGCTTATCTTAGGATTTTTCTAACATCAAGATTCTTGTCCAAGTTTTCTAAAAATAAATTTTAATTGTTAATATATTTTTATTTTAGAAATATGCTATCATATTTGCAGGATTTATAAAACAGCTAACTTTAGTCTGTGGAAAGATTCCAATTCATACGGTGATTTGAAAATATTCCTCAAAGTTAATCTGGGCATGTTTTATCTTTATTTACAAGGGTCATTTTAATATTTATTATTTTTGGTGCTACGTAGTCTTTCTTAACATCATAATTGTTGGTTATATTGGCCTGACTGAGGTTAGCATTCTTTAGCATTGTTACCAAATAGCATTAGCACTCTTCTGTCCTTATAACTAAAACAAATTGTCCTTTCCCAACATATACAAAACAAACAACAACAAAACAGAAACAACGCTAACATTTATTGGGCTAATTATAGAATATATAATTTAATTCTGAGAACATACCATGAAGATGAAAACTCCCCATATTACAGATGAAGAATCTTGGTAAAACACCACTTTAACCATGTTCCCAGGAAGATGGACTACAGATTAGATGTCCCATGTAACAGCAGGCTACTCATTGCAGCTAGGAAGTCCACTGCGTAACCAAAGTTGACTCTTGTAATTTTAGGGAAAACTAATTAATTTAATTGTGGCCTTTAAGTTGCACATATCATAAGACTGAACAACATTCTTCACCCACACTTGAAATGAAAAAATTACTTGTACTAATTTACAAATAAGGATTTGAACATAGCAATCCTCTTGCTTCTATACATAGTATCTTTCTCTAGACCACAAAAAAAAATCCGGATCGGGATTATTGTCTTTTACTCCTAAAGAGCTATTACATTTTTAGTAAAGCTATTGTTCTTATTCATACATTTATGATTTAAGAAGTATTTTCAGTGCTTACTCTTACATACCAGTCACCATGTTGGTACAATTTGAACTAACATTAGGACTCTATAAATTTTCAACTCTTTAGGAATCTCACTCCTCCTAGTAGCCCCCATATTTTTAAATGTAATGTTTTACTATTTTCTCTTCTACTTCAGGGCTTAGAAAAAAAATTCTGTAAAGTGCTAGATATCTAGTCAGTATTTTAGATGGTATGAGTCAGACAGTTCTGGTCACAGCTACTCAGTTTGGTTGTTGAAGCTCGAATGTGTGGCCATGTTCCAATAAAGCTTGATTCATAAAAATAGGCGATGGTCCAGGTTTGACCCAAGGGTCATAATTTCCCTTCAGCATACAAACATGTTCAAGTCTTTCACATACTAAAGGTCAATCTTTGTAAAGGTTAACCTTCTAGATAATCTACCTTATTATTCTTTATCTTCAATATTTATGAATGGAATTGTTACACTTTTTCTCTATTTCCTCACCTCCCACTGAATTCTTAAATCATTGAAATCTTACTTTTGCCTTTATCACAACTTTGTAATGCTTCTCACTAGGACTAAATCTAATGACATTTTTAGAAATTACCATATTTTATATCTCCATCAATGATTACACATTGGATCACTTTTTTATGTTTTGCATAACATCTTCCAAAGATAGCAATAGTTTCTCTCACTCCATGTGCTTTCCAAGAACTTTGCCACTCTCCCGTCAAAGGGGGAATCGAATTCTTTTCACTTTAATCTGGATAGGCTTGTAACCAATAGAAACCTGCAGTAGTGAGTGGATGACTTCTGAGGTTAGGTCATAAAAAATAATATGCAGCTTATGAGTTGGAACACTTGAACCCTGTGCCACCAGATAAGCCACTCTACTGTTCTGAAGCAGTAAAGAAGACCAAACTTGTCTGGATGAAGAGACTCAATAGAGAAGCTTGAGATTAAATGAAGATAGAGATATGTGAGGATATCTCTCAGCTGCTGCAGCTCCAGCCATCATTTGATCCAACTGCATCAGGCATCTTTGGCCAAGTTATGGTCTGAACGTTAGTGCCTCCCCCAGAAATTTACATGTTGCATTACATGTTGCCGTAACCCCCAGTGTTTTGGCATTTAGATTTGGGAGGTAATTAAGTTTAAATAAAGACATAAAGGTAGTCTTGCATTGGGATTAGTTTCCTTAAAAGAAAAGGAAGAGAGACCAGAGCTCTCTATCTCCCCACATACAAAAAGAGTTAAGTCATGGGAGCATGCATTGAGAAGACAGCCATCTACCGGCCAGGAAGACAGCCTTCACCAGGAATGAAATCTGCCAGTAAATTAACCTTGAACTTCCCAGCCTGCAGAACTATGAGAAACAAATTGTCTGTTGTTTAAGTCACCCAATCTATGGTATTTTGTTATAGTAGTCCAAGCTAAGACAAGCCAGAACCACCAAGACAAGCTTTTCTTTTTTTTTTTTTTTTTTTTTTTTTTTTTTTTTTTTTTTTTTCTTTTTTCTTTGAGACAGATTCTCTCACTTTGTCACCAGGCTAGAGTGCAGTGGCGCAATCTCCGTTCACTGCAACCTCTGCCTCCCTGGTTCAAGTGATTCTCCTGCCTCAGCCTCCCAAGTAGCTGGGATTACAGGCACATGCCACCACACACAGACAAGCTTTTCTTAAATTCCTGACACACAGAATCTTAAAGATATAATGGAATGATAGTTACTGTTTTGAGCACTCAGATTGTGGACTGATTAGTTACAAAGCATTAAACAACTGAGACAGAGTTTCAAATCACCCCTGCTTTTTTTTTTTTCCTTCAGGCCCTGATTATTTTAAATGTACCTCTGCTTTTCTAATATTCTTTCTCATCCTATTTTACTTTGTTCTTCTTAAAAATTCCCAGAGGTATTTTGCATTCACAATTACATTCCCCCACGTATCTCAAATTCTAAAATTCTCTAGACAAAATCCATTATCCTCACTGCTTTTCAAACGGTTCTTCCCTTCTTTGGAAATCCTGCATAGAGTACTAGCATTCATTCAATTTTTCAAGCTAAAAAATAGAGAGTCACCATATCTCTTTTGTTTCCTTTACATTATCACCCCACATTGCAGTAAGTCCCTCATTCCTTGTGATTTTCTAAATGTTTTTTCCACTGTCAATTGTTCTACATATCACTAATAGAATATTGCATAGCTGAAGAAAAAGTCTGATTTTCTCACCTTCTGTGGAGGAATCAGAAAAGTGTTTCAAGAGCAGTTAAATATGCCTCATGCTGTCCTGACAGGCTATAGGCTAAAATATGCGCAGCCACCCATCAAAGTGCTCAGCAGATCTAAAAGGCCTTCCATTTACAAAGACATTCTCTGCTTAGGAGACGAATGTGGTAAAGGGACCATTGCAGTATAGCTTATGCAAGATGCCCAGAGTCAATCACTTTGCAAAGGGGTCAAAGATATGGGTCAATCACTTTGTGATGCTCAATTCTAGACACTCATCCCCGGCCAAATACTCACTCTTTTTATTGAAGACTATTACATTAGACACCTTTCCCAAGTAGGCCCGTTCTCTTCTCTTACTACTGTATCCTCAGATGCTCACTCCTGCGTGCTCCAGCAGCAGGCTCTTGCTTTACACAAACCTAGCATATGAGTCATCACTCAGCACTCAAGACACCAGATATTTACAGACCTTTTTTATCATTAAATGTTGGCCCCTTTCAAAGCATTAGTGGATTATTCGCCCACTCCCTTCCATCCAGCCCTTTGGTGACTATTTTTTTAGCTTAAAATTAAGAAGGTGTTAAGTTAATGGTTTTTGAAGAATTAATCTAAGAATGAAGGATTAATATCAATTTGTGTTTGTTTCTTCCTCTAAAATAGCCAGAGATTTTGTTCTCTTAACTATGAGGATTTCAAATAATTGGTGACATTTTCTTATTATTCTTGTTTGGGAATATCGGAAGGAGATATTACCTCATAATTCAAAGTGGGGTTGAGATAAATAATATACTCTGGGGATGGAAAAACCTATTCCTAAGAGAAAATTACCATATTTCTTTGAAGCTTTAGAGAATAAGTATGTTCTTGGAAAGTCTCAAATTATAATACACAAAAGACTAAATAGACTATTTCAGGAACTTACTAGTATGTATGTTCATATGTCTGATAGTAACAGGTACAGAATAAAAAATGTTAATTATCAACTTTGTGAGAAATGTGTTAGTGTTTTCTTTTTCACATATATAATAAGACATTTTATAAGGAATATCAAAATAGTATAGAGTTCAGGAGTGAAGACATACGAAACAATGCAAGTTCAACCAATAATTGCGTGGAGAGATCGGCGAAAAAAATGTAAGTAAAGAAAATATGAATGCAAATTTATATCAATATGGTTACATGAAAACATGGTGTTCAGATAAAAATAGTGGAAAAAATAAATAAAAATTAAATATTAAAAAATCACAAAGGAAGAGATATAGATTAGTAGTAACACATATGTGATAAATAATCCAGCATTTTTATTGTCAATAAATTGCTTTGTAGCTACAAGAAATCAGTATAGGTCTTCATTTGAAGTGTTGCACTTCAAAATAGGGAATGGCTACATCCCTTATCCCTCACTGATAAAACTAAATATGGATCATTGTGTTCTGTTCTGGCCTTGATATTTTAATAGCACCATAGGGGGAAAAAGGTTTAAAGGCAAGTAATTAGGATTTTGAAGGTTCACATAAAGATGGTTCAAACAAATGAGAAAATCATATTTTAAACAGACATCTGGTGCGTGGACCTAGAGAAATTTCTATTACTAAGGAATAGAAATTACAAAGACAAAGAGTTCAACTTGATATAAATAATTCTATAACAGTGTTACATAACATTAAATGTAACATTGTTATATAACATTTAATGTTATAGTTATATAACATTAAATGTTATAGTTATATAACATTTAATGTTATAGTTATATAACATTTAATGTTATAGTTATATAACATTTAATGTTATAGTTATATAACATTAAATGTTATAGTTATATAACATTAAATGTTATAGTTATATAACATTAAATGTTATAGTTATATAACATTAATTGTTATATAACAATCTGATTGTTATAGAATTATTTCATTCAGTTTTTATTAACTTGAGCTGTTCATTGTTTCATTTCAGTTTTTATTAACTTGAGCTGTTCAATACAAAGGAAGTGTGACCCCTCCGTGGAAGATTTAGCATTTTCTATAATGTCATAATTTAACACTTGGGCATTTACAACACAGAATAGGACAAAGAGGTAAAAATAACAATAACACACAAATGCACACACTGACAAGTGCCTCCTAAGGAAAGTGTATCTCCGTATAGAGAAGGCATTTTGGCCTGCAGAAAGCCTTTGAGTGTTATCCTGGAGTTTGAGGGGAGGAGTATAAAAAAGGTTAGTATCTCCAGACTACCAAGTGAGAAGAACTTGGCATTTATTTAAATAACTTAGGAAAGTGAGTGAAATATAGAAATTACAGAGAAAGTAAGAGATAAGAAAGGCCTCTGAACTGGCATGAACCCAGGTACTGCATGCAGCGAAGGGGCCAGAGTAAAATGTCTGGTGGTTTGGTAGCTGAAACCATAGACAGGATTATTGATGTTTAGTTTGTGGTGTTTGACTGATGCATTTATCCCTTCAGTCTCCTCAAGTCTGGGTTCAGCCCTATTGTCCACACAGAGCAACAGATGAGAATGCTAGCACATTTTTATTTTGTTTGTGGAAATATGGGAAGGAGTAACATAGTTCTCATATAGAGGTAAAGTTTAGGTCGACAATCATGCAATTCAGAAGAAAAAGACTTGAGGGCCAGTAAGATTTTTTAATAAACTGAAAGGGATTTTATATGAGCTGATGCTTTTCCAGGGATTCACAAAACACATGGAGAAGGCTTTGGGTTTCTCATTGCTTGAAATTTTGGAAAGTGGGTTGATTTCAAATAAAGTCAACTCTGATAGAGAAAAGGAAACCTCCATTGTCATCTGCAGGCACTGAACAAACACTTGTTGAGTTGATGAATCACTATATAAAGCCAAAACCATTGCTTACCGGCAGACTAGATTAATTCCTACAAAGGGCCCAAATATTTCTTCCTTCTGATTGGCCCCAAAGTGACTCATATTGTATTTTAGCACAAAAATATTTGCCAATGTAAGTTTAAGAAAAAAATTAAGATTTTCATGACAAGTAGATTTTCAAGGAGAAAAACCATAAAATTCTGATTATAAATTTCTTCAGCCAAACTTAGAAGCTTACTTGGTAAACATCAGTTCATCTCCTATCTAATAGTGTGATGACAACTTCCTCCCCAGGAATAATACAAGGATTAAATCAAATGTCTCATGTAAGCAGGTAGTATGGGATCACATCATCTGGACTCAAATTTTAACTGGGGTAAATCAATAATGAGTGTCATTTTTGCAGTTCAAACATAAGCAGAGCAATGGATATTATATCATACATCTATTTAAAATAGTATGGTATATAATGTAGCACTTGTTTTAGACAGTTCCAAAAGTACTCAATTTTCAGCAATTAAATACATGTAAAGCACATGGCTCACGGGACTTAGTATGCGCTCAAAAAGAACAGC
This sequence comes from Homo sapiens, assembly GCF_000001405.40. NCBI lineage: Eukaryota > Metazoa > Chordata > Mammalia > Primates > Hominidae > Homo > Homo sapiens. Next base: position 20,559,585 of record NC_000005.10, read on the forward strand.
TGTTATGATTTTATTGATATAAAAATAGTAATGTCATTTTTATAATAATTACAATAATTGAGTTTACATTTTAAACTAATAGAAAAATATACAGAAATGTGAAGAATATTGAAGCTAATATTGAATTCCAACCTGATCATATAAAAATCAAGAAATCACTGTCTAAGCGCCTACAAGATCAAGGTTGAAAAGTTTTATGCATAGTTTGATGTCTACCCACTAACATCCCTATTAAACAAGAAAAGCATTTAAAAGTTTGTTGCATGCCTTCTCCAAAGGTAGTAAAATTAATTAGGGAGATGTGCAGGCTGCGGATTCATTTGATTATATCTTACTAGCTAAAGTGCAAAATTTCCCTGCTAGGTCTGTTGCCTAAAGGAGTTTGGTTGATTCATCACCTCTTTCACTCATAGGGTTGATCACTGCAAATGACTTTATTGACCCATGGTTTGGTTCAGCATCATATGCTCCAGTGAACCAAGCAACAAACAGCTGCTAAGTGCAGGTGAGAAGTCGTCATGGAAAATTCAAGAACTGAATCAGCATACTCTCTGCCATCAGGCTCCCGTGCTGTCACAGATTTCTGAGTTTCTTATTTGACAGGGATAATTTTTAAAGGGACTTGTCCTAGAATACTGTATCTTCTTATGGACTTTCATGACTTTTAAACAGTCATGGAGAGTGCTGTAGTTCTAGAACCCAAATTCCAGATACCTAGATTGTTAGTCACAATCATATTACACTTTTAATGATTTAATACATGTCGATGAAAATTTCAAGCCAAATAAAATTGTGATAAAGTAGTATATAACAGTTAAGAATTGAAAAAGTATGTTAGGAATCATCTAATGACTTTAACCACTGCCCTGGCCCCCAACACTCATACACACACACACACACACACACACACACACACACACACACACACCCCTACATTCACAAATCCATTAAGACTCAAAGGTAATTCAAGAGCAGAGAGATTCAGAGTGGAGAAATCTCAGCTGGTATCAGCTGCTTCTACCAAGCAGCATTATCAGCTTCTCCTAGTTAGAAATAGCCTGACCTTCATGACAACTCTTCTATTTAGAGCTGCTCTAAGTCTTTCTTCTACTAGACTAAGTTTAGGGTGAATTGGAAATTATGCTTTATTGTTGTCATAGGTACATAACAAATGTTTGTTAAGTAGGTGAATGAATTAAAGAGTAAATTCTTAAGTTACATGCAATATTATGAGAATTAGAAGACGAGCCACAGACTGCAAGAAAATATTTTCAAAAGACATATTTCAAAAAGGTCTATTATCCAACATACACAATACATCCTAAAAGTCAGCAGTAAGAAAATTAACAAACTAAAAAAAATCAGCAAAAGACTTGAACAGATGTCTTAACAAAGAAGATAGATAGAAAGTAATATAAAACAATGTTCCATATCATATATCATTAGAGAAACGCAAATTAAAACAATGAGATACTGCTATACATGTGCTAGAATGGCCAAAATTCAGAACTTTGACAATATTGAATGCTGGCAAGGATATGAAGCAACAGGAACTTACATGTTTTGCTAGTGGGGAAGATAAATTGCATAGCCATAGTGGAAGACAGTTGGCCAGTTTTTTACAAAACTAAGCAAATCTTACCTTGCAATCTAGAGTCATGTTCTTTGGTACTTACCCAAATAAGTTGAACATTTACATACACACAAAACACTGCACATGGATGTTTATAGCAATATTATTCATAATTGTCAAAACTTGTAAGTAAGCAAGATATCCTTCAATAATTGAGTGGAAAAATAAGTTGTGCTGCATGAGGACAATGGAATATTTTTCCGTGCTATAAAGAAATGAGCTATCAAACCAAAAAGACATGGAGCAACCTTAAATTCATCTTACTAAGTGAAAGAAACCAATCTGACAAGGCTACATATTGTATGATTCCAATTATAAGAAATACTGGAAAACTATGTAGTCAAAAAAAGATCAGTAGTTGCCAGGGGTAAGGGTGGAAGGAGAAACGAATAGGTCAAGCATAGAAGATTTTTTTAGGGAAGCTCAACTATTCTGTATGATTCTATAATAGTGAATACATGTCATTATATATTTGTCAAAGCACATAGCATGTACAGCACTAAGAGTAAATCCTAAGAAATAAAGTCTATTCAAAAGAGAAAAAAATTAAATGCAATAAAAATGGTTTTCTAAGTTGAAATAATTCCAGGTTCATGATTGAACATTAGATATGAAACTGATTTTTTTCACCTCGTAATGTCTTCATTATTAATTTATTTCAGTATCTAAAAGAATTCCAAAAAGTTCAAAACAAATGACATCCTGCATTTTTTATTTGAAAATATCAATTATATGGTATTATGCTAAGAGCTGCCTCACAAGTTCCAAATCAAATAGGCTATTATGAACAAAAAGTGTATGCAATAAATTTTACAGCAATATTCAAAGGTATTACAATAAAAATTTAGAGAAGTTTAATTATAAAATTCATAGACATAGTCTCACAAAAACCAGAGATCTATAATAGAAAAGAAAATAGGTGACCTACTTTACACATTCACAAATCCAAAGGGTAAGATAATTTAGTGGGAATTGATTTTTCACTTAAAATAGTTAATATATCTAATAAATTCTTGGAAATAGAAATAGAAATTAGTATCAAGAGTTTTAAAGTTGCTTGGGGACAAGGAGAAATATGAGTTTGGTACTATACACAAAGGAATACAGGATATTATTGTTCAATAATGCCTAAAGAATCTTCCCAGAACATGAGAATATTTGAGAAAACATTTCAAGGCAACCTTATGTACCTATGTTACTAAGCAAAATGTGGAATGGGGTTAGTAAACATTTTAATAATATGATATATATAAAGGCATGGTTGCCAAAAATTAATTGATCTGAATACTGTATATGATAAAAATGTGTTTCACCTGCATTTAGTATTATGATGTTAAACAGAATTAACTAGAACGTTATATTCTAATATATCTTATAATTATTATTAAAAATGCTATAATTACTGTCTTGTAATTATTTTCTTCTCTTAAAGGTAGTATTTGACCAGCCAAGAAAAAAACAAAAACTGGACCTTTATTCTTTTATTGGTAAATTTAAAACAGCGTTGTGGAATAAAACATTATTGCGTAACTTTCTTAATGTAAAATTAAAACAATATGAAAAGGCATAGCATTTAATAGGAACAATTAGGTTTAAATCATAGAATAAGTTTGTTTAGCACTTCTACATCTTTAACATGGTTATGAACCACCCGAGGATAATGTTAAAATGTATATACTTATTCAGTTAATGCTGGTGTATTTCTATCATTTTTAACAAGCTCCTACTTAATGTCAATTCTACTGGCATATAGATCATACTTTGAGAAGGTAGGTTTTTTTTTTTTTAGCATGGTGACCTAACTAATCTAGATCATTTTTTTCCATAACACATGAAAAACTTAACTCCAAAAGTATCAGTAAGAGCTGACTCACACAGAGTTAATCATTACTCTAGGAGTTATAACATGACAGCAAAAAAAGCATAAATGTCTCTGCAACAAATAATATATTTTTATTTTTCAATTACTTCACAGTTGAAAAATAGAGGATGGGGCAGAGTGAGAAAAAGTATATTGGTGTCAACGGAAATGTTGACATATGTGAGAGCTCATAAATGAAAGTATCATCTAAACACAATAACAAAAGTCTGAAATTTACAAGTTAAAATGTAGACAAACAATTGTTTCTTGTGTGATCAGCATTTTGAAGCACAGTTTCAAGCTTAACAGAATAGGAATATACTTTTATACTTTTGGCATAGCCAGGTCTAGAATGGCTTCTTAATCTTCCCCAATTAAATTGTTGACAGTTAAATTGTTGACAGTAAGTTCACTCGTTTTTTGTGTGTTTTTTTAAATAAATAAAATTTAGAAAGGAAACTACTTAAATGTCAATTTTTTTTATTATACTTTAAGTTCTAGGGTACATGTGTACAAGGTGCAGGTTTGTTACATATGTATACGTTTTAAATTGGTGTTCATGAGTTTGAGAATCTTTTGCTGCTGCAGTTCAGGTACCCATTCACAGGCTCAAATTAAACAACTGGTTGTGACAAATCTAAAGTGTACTTAGTATGCACAAAATACTAACTGATATGTTAGAGAGCTCTATTGCTTAGGTAACTCATTTATTTACATTACATCTAGTACCATAGTAGTCACAAAAGAGCTCCTTAAACTCATATTATTAGCCAAAACAAAATGGCGCTCTGATCTTGAGGCTAACATTTGAAATTAAATAAACTAGTAGAGAAGCCTATGTGTGATATATTTGCCCCAGTAACCTCTAGTTATAGAAGGAACCCATGGTAAGTTTAATCTATGACTATTAATAAGTACCCTACTTCTATCTTTTGATCAAATTAGATCATGTTACCCCATGATTTAGAAACCATCAAAGACTTATTCACAACATCCATTTTCCTTAGCATAGTAATAATTATATACTTCCACAATCGGTTCACCTATCTCTCCAGGGCCCATACTTCCTGCTTCCTCATAACGACCTTACATTTCAGCCATGGTGAACAACATGCAATTTTCACATCCCTCCATAATCGTTCTTAATCTTCCCACAATTATTTCTTGCATTATTATCACAGTTTTATTTATTTATTTATTTATTTATTTATTTATTTTAGATGGAGTTTCGCTCTGTCACCCAGGCTGGAGTACATTGGTGCAATCTCTGCTCACTGAGACCTCCACCTCCCAGGTTCAAGCAATTCTCCTGCCTCAGGTTCCTGAGTATCTGGGACTACAGGCACATGCTACCATGCCAAGCTAATTTTTTGTATTTTCAGTAGAGACGGGGTTTCACCATCTCTCTGGTTGGGCCAGGCTGGTCTTGAACTCCTGACCTCAGGTGATCCAGCTGCCTTGACCTCCCAAAATCACCATTTTAAATACAACTCAAATATCAAGTGCTCTGGAATCTCTTTTCAGGTTTAGCAATGAACAAGGCAAAGTTAATTTCTTCTTTATTGTCTGTTCCCTTTTGCATAACATCTTGCATTTAAAAACATTTTAGCAGTAATTAAATGCTGTATTACTTTTGGCATTTTAGAGGGAAGAAAATTTCATGAGGTTTCCATTTGGCTCTTTAACCCATAATATTCTCACTGTAAGGGTCAGAGATCTAACAGAAAGACATTGTCTTTAGCCAATTATTTTTATATTAAGTATAGTTTCAGGAAGTAAGGAAAGAATTATGATGTAGTTTAACAAAATAACTGAGTTCATTATGATTTAAATGTACGGCAAAACTTTATATATCACATGACCACCATAATCAGTCACTTTGGGAGATCACAGTATATTTTGGGTCACCAGAAATTAGCACCACTTCAAAGCTAGTGAGTACATTTTAAAAATTGACATATTTTTTCTCTTTCATGTATGATCACCCTAGTGAGTCACCATAGCTTCCTCTGAAGAAGGATTTGGCAGAAATTTACAATGTATCCCCGATGCAGAATAGCTCTTCTTTACTCAAGGGAATCCACCATCCCAGTTAATTAAGTTGTTTCAGATATATGTGAACTGGCCTTGTTTTGAGAACCAGTTAAGGGGCCGTGATTTTTCATTATGGGAACTCAAGTCAGGTTTCTGATCATAGACCTAAAGTTGTTGTTGTTGTTGTTGTATATACTCAGTAAAATTTTAGTAGAAAGAGTATAATCATTGGCTAACAGCAAAGATCCTTGCAAGTAAAATCCTGATTACTACTTAGTTCCTGCTGCTTACTTGGTAAGTGCAAAATCTTAGCTGTGGCGGTTAATTAAGCATTGCTCCTTGGCTTCTATTCCTCTGGAATCTCTCCATCTTCATTGATATCAGGAAGCCCATATCAATGGTGACATCTCCCACCATCACAACTTGACTGCTGTGGAGGGCACTACAAAATGTTTAAATTGGTGCTTGAAATATTCTGGTACTCTCATCTTTACTTATTTCTTAGTGCTTTTGTGAATGGAATATCCTGAGACCTCTAGGTGGGAGAGAAGTGAAAGACAGTGGGGAGTAAGCCTGCATATAATCAATGTGCTTCAACATTCCAGTCTTCCTGAGCCTTTGCGTTCCTCCTTGTACGTTATGATAAAAAAAAAAAAAAAGTTCCAGCATTTTAACCTTCTAGGTAGGTCACTGTTGAACACACTTTTCTGTCAACTAACCAACTAATCCCTTAGTGCTATATTCAGTTGTGCAAGCAACCCTATTAAATATAGATCTCTGGTAGGTACACCCATACTGAAGAATTTGGCCAAATCCAGTATTATGTTTTGTCATCTTTTGTCTAATTCTCTTAAAATCTAGTATCTCACACAATTCCCTGATTTTTGCTGACATAAATTAACAAAATCTTGCAAATATTTTGAAGTGCCAGCTAATTCCTCCTGGGCCAGATTTTATATATATTCTAGATAAGGCTGAGCACTGACTCTAATTAGTAAAGTCAGGAGATACTAAGGGCATGACTAAATCTGGAAGAAAATGGGCTACTTTTGCAGGGCAAGTACCTCAGGTGATTTACTCTGGATCATCAAGTAATAGAAGGCTAGGCTACATACTCAGAGGAAGCAGAGGAAGGAAGCTTCCGTTGTTGACAAGAGAGACTCAGTTGTTTCAAATTTCTCATTGTAACCCAAAGCCACTCAGATGGCCTTAAAAGCTTTCTGATTCTCTTGATTTTTTTTCTTTTTCTTTTTTTTTTTTTTTTTTGAGATAGAGTCTCACTCTGTCACCATGTTGGAGTGCAGTGGTGCGATCTCGGCTCACTGCAACCTCTGCCTTCCAGGTTCAGGTGATTGTCCTGTCTCAGCCTCCCAAGTAGCTGGGAATACAGGTTCGCGCCACCATGCCCAGCTAATTTTTTTTTTTTTTTTTTTTTTGTATTTTTAGTGGAGACAGGGTTTCACCATGTTGGCCGAGATGGTCTCAATTTCCTGACTTCGTGATCCGCCCACCTAGGCCTTCCAAAGTGCTGGGATTACAAGTGTGAGCCACTGCACCCAGCCTAATTCTCTTGATTTAAAGCCAGGAGCTTACATGTGTGATTTTTTTGGCTTGTTTGCTTATTTGTTTATCTGTAAGCTGTCAAGTACAATTAAAACAATGATTTCATCTTATAGTCTTGTAATCACCATTACGAACAAAGAGTGAAAGACAGTTACCGCTTGGTTACACGATCTTTGCTTCAGAAGGCCTGCACCACAAATAAACATAGCTGGCTATTTGAGTAATTGGAAAAGCGATTGCATACTATAGATTACTTGTACTCCAATTACCATTAGCCAATTGTTCAATACTGTATTGAAGGCCAAACGCCATGATCAAACCAATTCCCTGGACCCAATGTTGGTAGCTCACTCATTTTCTGTTATCAACTCTTCTTTATTCACTCAAGCATGAACTCTTTATTCAGTCAGTATTGAGTCAGGAAAACAGAAAGCACAGCAGTTATTTCAATAGAATATTTAATACATTTCTTGGAAGATTGAAAATAAAGAAGGAAACAGCGAGGTAACAAATATTTTAAATGTTGGAAGCAGCCACCATCCCTAGGGCTGGGAGAACAAAAGAGACTTCTTTGGTTCTTTTTCTAAGATCTTTTAGATTCAAATAAATGCTTTTTAGAAAGTGACATAAACTTTCAATTTACACTCTCTGTGTTGAAGTATATTTTTCACCTTTTTTAAACAAATGACTTTGAAATATTTTGTTTTCTCAATGACAGCTACTTATTGAGAATATGAGAACCTAAAAGATGGAGAAGGGGCCCCATGGAGCAATGGAATAAGCAGTGCCTGCCTGGTGCTGTAACCAATGAGGTTTGGCACAGTGAGGCTAGTTTTAGGAGTACTAGCAACAGCTGGAAACCAGAAGCAAATGCTTCCGGAATTGCCCACTGCTGTGGAGGTGAAGAGCATTATAAGGTCAGGCTGACAAGGGAAGCAAATAGAAAAGATATGAGAATGTGCTTTTTTTTCATCCTGCTTTGCAACTCCATATAGTACTCTCTTGGCAGATCCTAATGAGTAGCAAGCTGGAAAAGGAGAAATGTTCTTTCAAGAGCCTCAGTCCCAGTCCAGCATCATAGAAGAGAGGACAGACTGGAACATTTAAACACAAAAGACAACAGTTTAATGACTGGGACAGTTTTCTTCCTTGTCTACTAGATGGAGAATGCCTAATCGGTTTTACTCGTCTTTGCAGCCCCTTGAATAAGAATAAAATGTCATATTTAGGACTTGTTCAGCAAATTTTTCTTGGATGCTTAAATGAAGGTTAGGAAGAAGATAGTTTAGATCACATTTTCGAGAACTGTGAATTTAGAAGCACTGAGTGTAAATATGAGTCCTGCTATTGTTTATATGTCTGTGATTTTGTCAGTCATTCTTCTAAGCTTTTTACCTCTAGAACCTCATTGAACCTGTAGATTAGCCCTATAAGGTACATGCCATTATTATAAAGACGACAAACACAGGCTGACAAATGTTAAAAAGCCTTCTCTAAGGTTCTAGAGTGAATGTGGCAACTTAACCTAGTGTTAAAGAAAATGAACTTGAGAGACAGAAGGACCTGGATTTGAAACCCAATGACCTACTCTCTTTTTCCCTCTATCAAAGGAATTTTATAATTGGGTTTCAAAAATTCCTTTTGGAAAACCTTTAGTATTCTCAGTGATAATGTTGCTGCTATGGGTCAAAATGTTCTGTCACTTAGATTGAAGGAAAACTTTATTAAGTAATGTTTTTAACAATACATTGGTTAGTACTTGAGTTCAAGTCAAGGAGTTAATTATATTGATTTATGACAGAAGCACTCAATAACTAGATGGTAGAAATGATACCCTAAGACCTCTGCCAGCCAACAACTAAACTTTATGAAAAAGAATATTAAAAGCAAACTAAAATTATTAAATGAATGTCAAGAGTGGGCATTTCAGAATATAAATTAATTCACTAGAAAAAATATGCTAACATACATATCCATATACAGAGACAGAGACGGCAACTGAGAGAAAATTATGGCATTTTAAAAACATTTTCTATCTATTCCTCCGAGGACTACTAAACATCTTGAGAAACTGGTCGTCTTATTTATGCTTCGTACACTCATTTGTCTGTGTATTGTTTCAAGAGTCCTTCCAAAATGTAATTAGTTTGTGAGCAAGCTAGTCCAATCCTTTGCCTCCAATATTAACATCTTTTAAATTCAAATAAATGCACCAAAGGGGGGCATAAGAAAATCTCTAACTCGGATTTTCTTCCTTAAAGAGCTTTCTCTCACCAAGTACTTTACATTTTGTTTCTAAGGGATATCTAATCATATTCACTGCATAATGCACCCATATTCATCTCTAACACTTTCTATTTTGAAGGGGCTTATACACATTAACCCACCTATTATACTATAACTGCATGCTGCTTTCAATGAGTAGGCAGGAAAACAGCTGCAGAGCAGTTCAGTGGGATGGCTACGAGTCGTGTACATACCCACCTTCATATAATATTAGAACATGAGACTGTTTAACCAACTACATTGCCCTCCATTTTATATGAAAAGAAAAGGGGAATGGAGAGGAAAAGAAAGTCAGAGACATTAAAACATTTTCAAAATCATTTATATAGCTTGTACTACGAGCCAATATTCTGAATCATTCCTTCAAATAAACATGCTCGGCCAGGCGCCATGGCTCACACCTGTAATCCCAGCACTTTGGAAGGCCACGGCGGGCGGATCATGAGGTCAAGAGTTCGAGACCAGCCTGGCCAATATGGGGAAACCCCATCTCTACTGAAAATACAAATAATTAGCCAGGCGTGGTGTCATCCCAGCTCCTTGGGAGGCTGAGGCAGGAGAATTGCTTGAACCTGGGAGGTGGAGGTTGCAGTGAGCCAAGGTCACACCACTGCACTCCAGCCTGGGCAACAGAGCAAGACTCAATCTCAAAAACCACAACAACAACAACAACAACAAACTCTTACCATATAATCCAGAAATCATGCTCATTGGTATTTACCCAAATGAGTTGAACACTTACATATACACAAAAGACTGAACATTAATGCTTATGGCAGCTTTATTTATGATTGTCAAAACTTGGTAGTAACCAAGATGACCTTCAGTAGATGAATGAATAAACAAACTGTGGCTCATCCATAACATAGAGAATATTATTCAGTAATAAAATGAAATGAGCCCTCAAACCATAAAAAGATATTGAAGCACTTTAAATGCATGTTGATTAAGAAAAGCAAATCAGCAAACCTACCTACCTTATTCCAACTACATGACATTCTGAGAGACAAAACTATGGATATATTAAAAGATCAGTGCTTGTCAGGTGTTACGGAGAAGGAACTGAAGAAGGCATGACTAGGTGGTGCACAGGAGAATTGAATGGCAATGAAAATGTTCTGTCTGATACTATAAACGTGGATATACCTTATTATATGTTTGTCAAAATTTATATAATATACATTACAGAGAGTCAACTCTAATATAAACTATGAACTTAAGTTAATAATGGTGAATCAATAATGGTTCTTCCATTGCAACAAATATACCACACTAATGCAAGATGTTAATCATAAGAAAAACTGGCAGAGGATGACTGGTATGTAGGAACCCTCCTCTTTTCCATCATTTTTTGTAAAGCTGAAACTGATTGGAAAATAAAGTCTGTTCATTAAAAAAAAAATGAAGTATGTGCCATAGCTGTTTGAAACCCATTTGCTTTGCCTGTCGTAAAACAATGTTCGCTATACATAATGCCTCACTACTGGATCTTCTCTCATTTTATTTCTGCCAAGGATGGGTGAGAATGGATAACTTTTAACCTATGAGTGACATTAGTATATCTGGTAGACAGGTAAATAACACTACTCTCTTTTACACCTTATTCATATTATGATTAATAAAATCATGTTCTAGTCTGATTCATTATCTTCCTCTATTCTCAGTAACCTGGGCCAAGATCCTCTCATTCACAAGTTAGAGTGACTGCAGTTTAGTAAACAGCAGGGCTGGCTCAAGGATGAAGGTACATGACTCAAGACAGAGTTCTAATGGACAGGAAATAATGCAACAGATGGACCCATCTGAAGTCATATCTAAGCAAAGTACAGGTGATTCTATTTCTATGTTATTCTGACTTTATAAAAACAACTATACCCAGATATACACACACATTCTCATCCAATCATATGCACACATAGTTTCACAAAGACAAATAGGCCAAGGAGTAATTTTGTAGAGAAAACAATTCGGTTCATTGATCATAGCAACAAGAGAGCAAATAGAAACCAACATATACTTTCTAATTATTAACATCATCTAAGTCCATTAGAGTAAACCCAATAGACATGAGTCCTCTTGTTTCCTTACAAAGCCTGATATCAACCTATTATATTAAAAATTACCCATTTCAGTTACTCATTTTTCTACTTTCCATATCTCTAGAGAGAATTTTTCTCATACTCTGTGAGACATAGAAATATTACATGACAGTGACACCTCTACGTCTTTACCATTAAATAGAAAACATGAATATATCCCTTTCATTGTTATGTTTGTCTCTTGATTCTTGGCCAAATTTCGCAACATACAAAAGTTTCTATACAGTTGTTGCATTTTCATTTATTTGTCTTATTTTCAATTTTAGCCCATCTCCATTTCTGTGCTACTTTAATATAAAAGATAATCTCTTTTTAGAAGACAGTAAAGTCCTTAACATATTTTATTTATGGTTCACATCAATATATAGCATCGGAATTCTCACTCAAGTCACATTGCTTAATAATTTATATTACCAAAATCTAATTTTGTGAAAAAGAACAGCATTATATTATATACCAGTAGATGGGGAATGATTTCCACAGAACTTTGTGTATTGTATATGCTTTGTATATTGTATATGCTAGTTGCATTCAAAATTCACAATTATCAAGGTATGTAAATTTTCAAACAGAGAAAAATAACTCTATATATTTACTCTGAAAAGACCAGTAAAGGAGATATCTTTACCATTTTCATATTTCCATTTTATTTGAGCAACTTCTACACTGATAAGTCAAGGAGCTATTCAATAAATGATTGAACTCCATGATTCATTGCTTAGAATTCCTCCTTTTCTCTCACTTCTCAAAAGAAATGTCACTCACATTGTGTATGTCACTTCTTTCTCTTTCCATGAGCTAGCACCATTTGAAAAAAGCTTAGACTGGCTAAGTTCATGGACTCATTATTAAATGCTGCGTAACCCCTAACCAAGTCCTGCAGTAAGAGAAGATCTCTAACTGCTGTAGAGATGGGAGGAATGTTTTTCCATTTATTAAGAAAGTCTACGGTGCAATTCAATATACATGGCTTTCAAAAGTGATAAGGGAAATACCCTTTCTTCCCGTAATACACCCTCCCATGAACTTCTGTGTATGTAATGATAACTTTATATAATGTCAGCATACAATATTTTCTGGAATTTAAAAATGCATTTTCTATGCCTGTGTGGATAGTAAAACATTCTTTTATCTTCAATTCTTCCATGTCTATTTTTGTAAAAGAAAAAAAAAAGGTAATATTCTCTTTTTAGCTGCCTGCTGATCTTGTCTCCTGAAAGCAAACTGCATGGAAGCCACAGTCATTGAGTTTCGGTGCTGTCCCTAGAGATGTGGAGATCATGTAAAGGATGTTTCTTCCCTCAGGTTTGGCCTTAATTTTATATTTTATATTTCTTATGATGCTGTTTGCATAATATATTATCTTTACATTTGCCTAAAATAGGTCATATTAATATTTCAAGCCGTTGTTATTTTCAAAGATTATATACAAGAATATTTTAAAGACAGTAAGTTTGAAAAGCATAGGATATATCTCATTTACCTGTGAAAATAAGGGCTTCTTATTGATCTTAAATGTTTCTTTGTGTGGGGAGAAGAATAAAGCTACTTTTAAAAGTATTCACATTATAAAAATAGGGAAAACACTTCAAGAAAGCTCTATAACCTCTTTCAGTGGTTTGATGAGTATAACACAGGAAGAAAGAGCCCCCTAATGGCTCAGATATCTATAAAAACAGAAGAGGTTGTACTTTCTCAATTCTTGTTTCACAATGGCTAAAATGAGTAATCAGGAAAGGTATGTGATACTATGGAAGCAAATGGAGAGTTGAATAAAAGGTCAACTAGAGCTCTCTCAACAATGCAAACAATAGTGAGAATCCCTAAAATGAATTGGTGAAGTAAGCTGTTAGATTTCAGACTGAGGGTGATGCTTACATATGTGACTCCTAGCACACTTGTCTTCCTCAATTATGTTTGCAGAGAAGCACTGATCTGGAATGCAGGAGACATATTCATTACACAGTTGGAAAGTGTGAAGTGTTTTTTAAAAACACTTTCTTTTTTTCTAATCATTGACCATTTCCTGTTAATAATATGGGAAATCAAATTTCTTACAGGAGAAATTACAGAATTTGTAAGAAAACAAAAAAGAGAATCAAAGTAATATTGAGTATAAGCTAAGAAGAATGTCCTAGTGCAAGAAGCAAACAGTGCTAAGAAATTAAAAGTATTTTTGAAGGAAGAGTATGTCTATTCACAGAAAAAAAACTTAGCATTGATGTTACATCTACTTATGCTAAAATTTTAATGGTCTCATAAAAACACACACAATACTATTAGAATTACGTTTTTTTTTAATTGCATATAAGCCAATATAGCCCATAAATAAGTACCAGGAGGACACTGAACTGTATAAAACAACTTGGATACTTAAGGTTGTTGCAACAAAAATTATAAAATTCAAAGTAATTTGTATATTAAACTTAAAAATGAGTAGAAGAATTAGTTAAAACAAAGTTACATCCTTGAATGAGATGTCAGATTATTTGCATAAATAAAATGGAATTATTAAAATACAATTTTGAATACAATTATTAAAAGCAATAATACAATTATTAAAAGCAATCTGAATATTATAAGCAAAACAATAACTAAACAAGGTTATAATAGATTTAAAACAAATTCTGTCTGTGAATTTGGCATGATACTGCAACAATATACATAAATATATGGTTTACAGTGCCAGTCACCATTCTCAGTTAACGGTTTGGCATTTGTCCCCCAAATATAATACTTAAAAGAAATATATATATATATATATATATATATATATATATATATGTATTTATATATAAAAGAAATATATATATGTATTTATATATATAAAAGAAATATATATATGTATTTATATATATAAAAGAAATATATATATATTTCTTTTAAGTATTTTATATATATATACTTTTTTTAAACAAATGACTCAATTTAAAAACAAAAACATCACTATTCTCTAATACATATCTCTCTACTTCCTAAGACCAACTGTACTTTCCAAAATTCATATCAACAATTCAGTTATTCACTTCTGATACGATTATATCAATAGAATACCAAGGTAGCTGTAATAATACTTGCATTATTAGGAAGCATCTAAATATCATCTCGCATTTAGAAGACAAAATGAACGTCATAAAATAGTGTTTTTTTAAATATGCATTTTTAATTAAAATATAAATAAGGGTGAATAAAACACACAAAAACAACTATTTAGAGTATGTAATAATTCTAAATTCAGACATGTGGGCTACTACTAAGGTTGGCAATCATGTTCTTTTTTGAAACGTTGAACAACATATTAAAAAGTTTTGCTGACTTATCACAGATGGCAGTTTGTTCTTTGATTAGAAGAGTGACTCAGGGAACTTCACTCAAAAGGACAGTCAGAGCAATTCTCGGGGTAAAATATCTCTTAATTAATCCAAAAGCAAACAAATTGACATAAAAATGTCACACACCATTAGAGTTCCAGTAAGCATTAAATAAATTCTTTCTGTCACAATGTTTTATCCTTAGCAGTTAATATCTGTGACCTATAAAACTAAGGTCAATCAAATACATCAGGACTGCATTGCCCCAGCTCATTATTTCTAGTCCAACCCATCAATTTCAGATATCATTTTAAAAAACTCTATTCTTCCCAGCAGAGGATTTAATATGCGCGAAGTTCCCATATATTCACAGATGCTTAACCCGCACGTAGCATCACTGACATGCAAAACATTAATTGATGCTACTGCAGGTAAGCAATGAACTCTAAAATAGCTAAACATCTCCAGAGTCACATTTCTTTGCCTTAGCTCAATACTTTCTTAAGCACAAATGCTGACCATCAATAAGAGGGCAGTCTAATGTCACATCATTTAACAAATATTGTGTTTGTATTGAAGAGTTAAAACTGCAATCTAAAGACAGATTTAGAAAAAAAAAAACCACTAGCAATCACTGAAAAGCATATGATAGCATCTACGTCTGCATAAAATATAATAACTGATAGTTAACACAGCAATGGTCCTTTCTTGATATGCTATTATTTACCAAAGTAGTTTAACAGCTAAAAACAATATTTATGAACATATTGTAAGGTTGTCACAAAAAAATGTACTTTGTATTATAAACTTGGCTTATTTTTCTTCTTTACGTGGAGTATCTGCTACAGAAACTTACAATGTAGTGACCTTATTTTTGAAAAAAAAATCTGTACCTGGAGATATTTTTTAAATGCAAATATATTAATATAAACACAGTGTGCATTTCCATATTTCTAAATCAACATACTTGTGTATAGAATTTACTTTAATGCATCATGGAAAACTCAGTTTTAAAAACATGCAAAGCTATGATGTATTTTGCTGTGAATAATTAAAAAGAAATCCAGAGATAAAAATTGCATTTCCTTACCTGGAGCGTGAAACTGTTCCTGTTCAATGCTGGAAGAAAGTGGAACTGGAAAGGGGACTTGATTTTTGTTTTCTTTTGAAAATCCGCTTTAATGATGCAGGAGTAAGATGAGCTATTCCAAGGTGAAGTCTGTTATTTCTTGCTGGAGCTCAGAGCTGACATCCTCTTGTAAAAAGAAAGGCACCTCAGTAAGTTGTTCACTGAGGGAGCTGCAGAGCAAGATTATCGGGTACAAGCAGTCACAGTAGTGATGCTATGGAACGTGCACTGGCTTCCTCCCCACCTTGTGTTCCTCTCTCTCTCTCTCTCCCCGCTTTTTTTTCTCTCTCTCTCTCTTTCTCTCTTTCCTTTTCACCCTGACGCTCGCTCAGCTCTGAGACTCAGCTCATGCTGCTGCTGTATAATCAATCTAGCCTGTCTGAAGCTAATAGTCCCCTATTTAACCAGCCAATCAATAGCAAGGATTCCACTGCTAGTCCCAAGAGTCTTTTCCAAGAGTGGTACAAACAATAAGAGTTTTGCCAGCAGTTTAGCCAAGTGTTTTTCATTATTTTATCTCCCTTAGAGATAAGGCTTGAGAGGGCAGAGGCTCAAAGCAAGCTTAGTGTTACTGCTGATTTTTGCATTTTAAAAATTTACCCCTTCTTAACCAGCTGATACTTATAATGATCCTCACCTGCTATCTATTGCAATATAAACATTGCTGCAGAGTAGCAATGTATGATAGGGTCTTTCTCATTCAAACATGTAAGAATATATTCAGTAACAAAACTATATACACTGACAAATGCTTTGCTAAAAACAGTAATGCCTCCAGTAGCCCGTATCACTAGGATCAATTAAAGAACACCTCATTATACTGATTTATTTTAAATGTTATCTATTTTATTTTAGAAAATCATGGTAAATAATTTTGTTTCTCCTAAAGAACAAGAGGTAATGTTTGTAGATATTTTTGAACCAGGGTCTGAGTCAGACTTCAGTGTATAAAACTTTTTTTTTCAATTTTAAGGCATTAATCTACAAAAGTTTCCCTCTGAATGTATCAAATAGAGCATTTCACACCTGATTCATCCCTTCCAGGTTAAGAAGATTTTCTTCTTAAAGTGACACATTCATTGCTCAACTGCTGTGACTGACCATAATAAAGAAGCACAAAGCAAACCATTGAAGACCAGGCTGGTTTCTCATTTCCCACATGCTTCCAGGGGGGCAAAAAAGCAAAAGAAAAAAGAGAAGAGCATATGGGATCGCATTAGCCATACCCTAGAAATGCAGTCTTTCTCAATTTCTAATTAGGAGGTGGTTGCTTATCTCAATTTCACACCGGTTGGTCAACTAAACTTTTAGTTACTTTTTCTTTGTAATACTGCATTTCTGCATTCATTAAAGCAAATTGTATAAGAATCTTTAACTGCTTCAATTCCCAGTTGGCATTCAATTCCAGGCAGTAGTCATTGCAGCTCCAACCTTCAGCATCATATAATACAAATAAAAATTTATAATATGTGCCAAAGCATCTTGTAAATGAAGACTGAAAATGTCATAAGGTAGGTGTGATCATGAAGTTACACTCAATTAAAATCTAAATTGTGAAGTGTTGTAACACCTGAGACACACTTCTTTGATTTAATTGACTCAGTTCAGCAGATATTTATTGAGCAACTCTTTGCATCAGACCGTACATTTAATTAAGTAAAGGAAAGAACAGGCTACTTTGCGTTTTTGGTATTTTCAGTGTAGTGCAGTTTGGGTAGTCAATCACCCAGGAGTTTACAATCTGGTAGGTAAATGAGGAGTTCTTAAGTAAGCACCTGCTTTCGTCAATAATTCAAAGAGTGACAAGTCGTCAAGATAGATCATAGCTCCTCTGAACAACAGAAAGACCTATCTATAAAAAAAAAAAAAGGCTATCTTTTTTACAGATAACCTTGTAGTGATCCTTATCAAAGAGAATAAAAAGCAATTTATAGGGAGGAGATGGCAATGATGGTAGTGAGGGGGAGGAACAACAGAAGCAAAAGGAAAGTGTTAAAGGAGGTGGGTGATGGGAGAGGGGTGTGGTGGAAGAGCCAAGTGAGATGGGTGGCTGAACACTTAGGGTCCAGGAAGGTAAATGAAAAAAAGGGAAATGCTCATAATATGTAAGACTTTTAATGCCAAGCTGACAGTAATAGGGGATTGAGAGCATTTCAGTTTTATATTTTCAAACAGAAATGTGGTAAACTTGTAAGTATGCTTTGTGAGCCTCTATATAACAAAATAGTGTCACTTAAGTACTAGAATGGGACCCCAGTGAAAGACAACAATCACTAGGGAGGGTCTCCCTTAGGAGTAATAATGAGTAGAACTAGTGTGCCTATGTTGGAAATTAGCAGAACAAATTAATATTAAAAAGCATTCTGAAATGAGGTCTCTGCATGACTCTGCAACCTAATAAGAAGAAGTGCAGCTTAGGAAAGCATTCAATTTTCAACTTAGGTGGATGACTAAAAAAAAAAAAAAGAAGTGAATGGCAAATAGCCTGCTTACTTACATTCCATCTCAGTTTTTGGTGTCATAATATTTATCTCTAATTAAACTTGTTTCATTGTTTTTGTTATGTGCATTTTCCACTACACTATAAGCTTCATGATGGAAAAGAACTGGTTTTGTACAACACTTTCCCCCCAGCATTTTCAGGAATTGTACTGGGCATATATTAGCTGTTCAATAAATAGGTGTTCAGTGGAAAACAAAATAATCCCCATGTTTGGAATAATACAATAATCACTACATCACAAGTCCTCAGCTCAGAATTCTCCAAAAATTATTTCATTTAACATGAAAAACTCTATAAAATAAATATTATCCCATTTCACACATAAAGACAGTTAGCTTAAAGAGGGTAATTACATTGTCTAATGACACACAATCAATCAATAAGCTTCTATTGAATTCCAAAGCCCATGTTCTTTATAATGTTGAGTTTTCAGGAACCAGCAGGTAATATAACAGAAACTAATAATCTGGATATTACTTTGTGGGTTATATAATTGATCAGGTGGAAAGAACAAAAATAAATCAACTTAAAACTAAAGGTGGGGATTCTGGGAAGATGGCAGAGTAGGATGTACCAAAAATCTATCTCTGCTCTGTAGACAAAAATTGCACTGGCAGAATCTGACTAATGTAACTATTTTAGAACTCTAGAGTCTATTGAAGGCTTACAACTTCCAGTGACAGCTTAGATGGTTAATTTGTAGTTAATTTGGTCCATTTAAGCTCTTAGCACAGCAGCAGCTAGCATCCCGCTCTTAAGCCCTATGGCAGGCAGCTGTGCATATATTTCTAGAATAGATTGCATACAGTTTGTGGTGGCCAGGGTTAGAAAAAAATGACCCTGCCTTCCAATATTGGAGATCTGTGCTATGACCACTGATTGCTTATCACAGAAGAGCACAAGAAGAGATAGTGGCCACTGTTGCCCCAACTTCCCTCAATGTTGCAAGCCTCTCCGTCTCTAAGTAATGTGTCTTTCAGGAGATTTATAGAGCTGGTACCTTTTTCCTTCTTCCTTTTTCTCTGTTTTCCATTTAGGAGCTAGACATTGAAGACTAGGATATTCAAAAGCAACCATGTATACAGATGAAATTAGAAAGTTACCAAGCATACCCAGGAAATGGAGTAGGCTCAGAAAATACTTGAGAAGGCCTTATGTTTACACAACAGGATGACCAAACAAATCCAAACCAACAAAATGAAAACCAAAAACAAAACAGAAAACAGCCAACTATGGTGGAAGGGGATAGTCTGATTTCCTGACTTACTACATTATTAGATTCAAATGTTTAGCTTTAAACAAGAAATCGCAAGGCATACAAAGGGATAGGAAAATATGGTCTATTCAAATGAAAACAAAACAAAACAAAACAAAAATAAAAACTGTCCCTGAGAAAGAATTGAAGGCAGATCTACTAGGCAACATTATAAAGAACATGGGCTTCAGAATTCAATAGACGCTTATTGACTGATTGTGTGTCATTTTTGTCTAATGTAATTACCCTCTTTAAGCTAACTGTCTTTATGTGTGAAATGGGATAATATTTATTTTATAGAGTTTTGCATGTTAAATGAAATAATTTTTGGAGAATTCTGAGCTGAGGACTCGTGATGTAGTGATTATTCTATTATTCCAAACATGGGGATTATTTTGTTTTCCACTGAACACCTATTTATTGAACAACTAATATATGCCCAGCACAAAAACAACTATTTTAAAGATGTTCAAGGAACTAAAAGAAGGTATGCACAAAGTAAAGAAGATAATGCAATATTTGGTAAAAATAAGAATAATGAGATAGAAAACCTAAAAATAAAACCAAAAAGAAATATTGGAGTCAAAAGTGTAATAACGGAAATGAAAACTTTACAAGAGGGATTCAAAGGCCGATTTGAACAACCAGAATAAAGAATCAGTGAACTGGAACTTAGGACAATAAAATTTATTGAGTCTGAAAAAACAGAGAGATTGAAGAAAAGTTAACAGAGCATAAGGGACCTATGAGACACAACCAAGAAGACCAACATATGCACTGTGAAAATGCTGAGGAGAAGACAGAGAGAAAGAGACAGAGAATATTTAAATAAATAATGACTGAAAAGTTCACACATTTTATGAAAAACATGAATATAAGTACACAGGAAGCTCAATGAATTCTGAGTAGGATGGTATCAAAATAACTCACAACAAGACACTATAGTCAAACTTTTAAAAGCTAAAAACAAAAACGGAATTTTGAAAGCATCAGGAGAAAAGCTTAGAGGCAAATACAATGAATTCTCCATAAGATTATTAGCAGATTTCCCATAAGAAGCTTAGAAGGCAAGAAGGCAGTGGGTTGATATTTGCAAAGCACTAAGAGAAAAAAATTAAAAACCTGTCAACCAAGAATCCTATATCTGGAAAAACTGTTCTTCAAAGTGAGAAATAAATTAAGACATTTTCAGTTAAACAAAAGCTTAGGGAGTTTTGCTTTTATTATCATTTTTAAACACTTGACCTTCCCGCAAGAAATGCTAGAGGGAGTCATGCAGTCTGAAATAAAAGAACAACAGACAGTTATTCAATGCCATATGAAAAAAGAAAAATCTTTTTTCATAGAAACATAGAAAGATCTATGTTTCAGGTAAACATACGGACAATTATAACACGTGTATTATTTATTGTACAAGGGTGTAAAACTCTACCTGTTCTTTTCTAAATGATTATTGTAACTTTGGTTTATAACTCCAAGTTTTGTTTTCTATATAATTGAAGAGACTAATGCATTAAAAAGTTGTTAGTTTATGTTTTGGGGTACACAATGTATAAAGAAGCAATTTTGCAACATCAAAAACCCAAGGGGGTGGGATAGACCTGTTACAAGAACAGTTACTGTATGCTATTGAAGTTAAGCTTATGTAAGTTCAAGTTACTCTTGTATCTTTAGGATGTTATAATCCCTATGGTAACCACAAAGATTGCAGCTATAGAATTGTTCAAAAGAAAATGAAAATGGTGTTTAAATGTTTTATTACAAAAAATCAACTAAGAGCAAAAGAAGGAAGAATACAGGAAATAAGTAACAAAAAGTCATAAAGCAGATAGAATATAAGCAGAAAAATTACAGAGTAAAGTCCCTTCTTGGTAATTTAAATGTAAATAAATTAAACTCACTATTGAAAGACAGAGAGTGGCAGAATGGATAAAAACATGATCCACCTATATGCTATCTATAAGAGACTCACTTTAGAATCAAAGACATAAATAGATGGGACGCTAAAGAATGGAAAAGTATATTTTATGCAAATAATTACCAAAGAGAGCAGGTATGGCCATACTAATACCAGACAAAATAGACTTTAAGTCAAGAAAGTTTACAAGAGACAGAGAAGACTGTTACATATTAATAAAGTTTTAGTAAATGAACAATATTTAATAATTATAAAAATATACCTTTTTCAAATAGCAGGCCATAAAATATATGAAGCAAAAATTAATAAAATTGAAGGGAGAAATAGTTCTAAAATAATAGTTGAAGATTTTAATAACCTGTTATCCACAATGGGTACAAGAATTAGGCAAAAGATAAGTTAAAAAAATAGAATTATTGAATGACAATGAATGAACTAGATCTAACAGGCATACAAGAACACTCTAGCCAACAATATAATACACATGCTTCTTAAGTGCACCTGGGACATATTCTAGGATAGATCACATTAGGCGGTAAATCCCCCCCAAAATGGAAAATACTTAGAGACAACTAAAAATAAAAAAACAGCATACCAAAACTTACAGGACATAGAGAATGCAGTGGTAGAGAAGAAGGTATAGCTATAAATGCTTACAGCTTTTTAAAAAGTGTCATCAATTTAACACATTAAACTTATGACTTAAGAAACTAGAGGCCAGGCGCCATGGCTCACGCCTGTAATCCCACCACTTTGGGAGGCCAAGGCGGGCGGATCAGGAGGTCAGGAGACAGAGACAATCCTGGCTAACACGGTGAAACCCCGTCTCTACTAAAAACACACAAAAAATTAGCCGGGCATGGTGGCGAGCGCCTGTAGTCCCAGCTACTCGGGAGGCTGAGGCAGGAGAATGGCTTGAACCTGGGAGGCAGAGCTTGTAGTGAGCCAAGATGGCGCCACTGCACTCCAGACTGGGCGACAGAGTGAGACTCTGTCTCAAAAAAAAGAAAAGAAACTAGAAACAGAAGAACAAACTAAACCCAAGGCTAGCTGAATAAAGAATATGAAAAAATAGAGCAGATATAAACAAAATAAGTAAGAGAAAAATATGTTTAAAATGTATGAAACCAAAAATTGGTTCTTTAAAATAATTGACAAAATTAACATACTAGATATACTAAGAAAAAATAGAAAATACTAAAATTAATAAAATGAGAAATGAAAGGGTAGACTTTACTACAGACTTTAGAGAAATAAAATGGAGAATAACAGTGTCATGAGCAACTGAACAAAATTATGAAGAAAATTGATAATATAGATGAAATAGACACATTCCTAGAAACATTAAACTGACCAAGAATAAACCACAAAAAATAAAAATTCTAAACAGAAATATAACTAGTAGGGAGATTGAGTCAGTAATCAAAAATCTCTCAAGAACAAAATGCTTGATGGCCTTATTGGTAAAATCTACAAAACATTTCATGAACTAACTACCAATATTTCTCAAACTTTTCCAGAAAATTTAAGAGAAGAAAACATTCTGTAACTTGTTATATGAGACCAATATTCCTCTAATACTAAAGCCAGTAAGTGACACTACAATAGTAGCAAACTCAAGTTAGCAGCATGTTAAAATGCTTTTACAACATGACCAAGTGAGATTTATTTCTGAAATGCAAGAATGGTTTATCATAAAAAAATGCAATTTAATATACCATATTAAAATAATGAAGAGGAAAAACATAAACAAAATTTATTATCTTTTCATGATTAAAAAAACCTACATGTGAAAAACTCACAGTGAACATTATATTTAATGATGAACAACTAAAAGCTTTTCCTTTAAGATGGGGAGTAAGACAAGTGTAACTACTCTCTTCTCTTCTATTCACTATAGTATTGGAAGTATTAGCCAGAGCAATCAGGCAATTTAAAAAAAGACATCCAAATAACATGAAGAAGTAAAATTATCTTTGCACATGATATGAACTTACCTAAAAAAAAAAAACTATAAGTTCCACAAAATAAAACCTGTTAGAACTAACAAACAAATCCAGAAAAGTAGCAAGGTGCTAAGTCAACAAGAAAAAATCAGTTGCTTTTTGTAATAGTAACATAAACAAACCAGGAGGAAATTAAGAAAACAATTTCATTTATACTAACATCAAAAATAATAAAATATTTAAGAATTAATGTAACTAAGGAGGTTAAGGTCTTATACAATGAAAATACAAAACATTGTGGAAAGAACTTAAAGAAGACATGAATAAATGAAAAAAAAAAGTTCATGGATTGGAAAACTTACTATTGTTAAAATATCAATATTATCCAAAGTAATCTTTAGATTTATTGCAACCTCTGTTAAAATCCCGATTGCTTATCTTTCTGCAGAAATATAAAAAAATTATTCTAAAGTTTATATGGAATCTTTAGGTATCCTGAGTATCCAAAACAATTCTAAAAAGAAAGAACAAAGTTGGAGGACTCACAACTCCTGATTTCAAAAATTACTACAAATCCACAGTAATTAAAACACTGTACTGTTGGCATAAAGATATATATGTGTGTGTGTGTGTGTGTGTGTGTGTATATATATATATCTTTATGCCAGATATATATATCTTTATATATATATATATATATATATATACACACACACACAGTAATGTAATGAATAGACTACAGAAATAAACCCTTGCATATATTAGCAAGTGATTTTTGACAAAAATGCCAAGATCACTTACGGGGAAAAAAAAATGGTCTTTTCAACAAAAGGTGAAGAAAAGCTAGATATCCACATGCTAACAAACAAACAAACAAAAATTGGTCTCTTATCTAATAGCATATGCAAAAATTAACTCAATCTATGATCCGTTGATCCAGTAAATAAAAATGTTGCCTAACTGTATGTTCTAAAACCACAGAGGTCTTAGACAAAAACTATGGCAAAAGCTTCATGACATAGGATTTGTTAATTATTTCTTGGATATGGCATCAAAACCATTGGAAACAAAGAAAAAATAGTTAAAATTAAAATTCATAATTTTTAAATTGTGCATCAAAAAGTTTTATCAATTGAGCACAAAAGCAACCCACAAAATGAGAGAAAATGTTTGCAAATCATATATCTGATAAGAGATTAGGATCCAAAATAAATAGACAACTCCTAAAAATTCAACAACTACAAAACAAACAACCTAATTCAAAAATGGGCAATACATTTGAATAAACTTCCCTCCAAAGAAGATAAGTAAATTGCTAATAAGCACATGAAAAGATGCTTAATATCACTAAGCCATTAGGGAAATTCAAATCAAAACTATAGTGAGAGACCACCTCAAAAACATTAGGATAGTTACTATGAAAAACAAACAAACAGAAGATTATAACCGTTGGTGAGGATGTAGGAAGAAGAGAAATTAGAACTCTTGCACTATTAGTGGGAATGAAAAATGGAAGAGCTGCTGTGGAAAACAGTGTGGCAGTCTCTCAGAAAAATAAAAATAGAATTGCCATATGCTCCAGCAATTCCACTTCTGCATATATATGCAAAAGAATTGAAAGGAGGGTCTTGAAGAGATATTTTTACACCTATGTTCATAGCAACGTTATTCAAAACAGCTAAAACATGGAAGCAACCCATTTCCATTGACAGATAAATGGAATTTTAAAAGTTGGTAGGTACAGACAATGGATTGGTATTCAGTGTTTAAAAAGGGCTGAAAATTCTGCATTGGGCTACAACATAAATGAATCTTGAGGGTGTTGTGTTAAGTGAAATAAGCCAGTACCCAAAAGACAAATAATATATGATTCCACTTATATGAGGTCCTTAAAGTAGACAAAATCATTGAGACTGAAAGTAGAATGGTGTTATAGTGGCTAGTGGGAGGGAGAAATAGGGAGTTTCACAACCACTGGAGCCATGTGTTGAGAGTGAAGGTGAATGGTAGGAAGTATTAGGAGGGGGGCTATTGGAGAGCTATGCAGAATAGGAATAGGTACTGAGTTCCATTACAGGGTAAGTTGACCAAGGAGAAGGAGAAGGTTGGCAGAGCTTCCCTGAGGCCCCAGCTGTGCCTGCAGATCATAAATTTCCAGTGGCACCAATATGTAAGATTGCATGGATTTCCCGGGCTTGTTGTGCTCACCAGCTTGGAACCCTCAGCAATGAAAAGATTCATAGAAAGCGATGATTATTTTCTATAAGAAATTTGGCAGAAAAGGAAAAAGAGAGAGAGAGAGAGAAATTAATATTCTGCATACTCTGAGCATCAGAGATTTCAACCCTTTGTTTTAATAAATGGTGTTAAAGAGTATATTTCTGTAGATAAGGGAAAGAACTAGTTGAAAAAGACAACTTGAGAAAGCAAATAAGAGAGACATGCTTAATATATTAAGGTCACAAAGAAAATAAGAAGGTGGGACCAAAAGCTTTCATGGGGAATTTAGTACTTACAAAGAGGAAGAGTTTATTTATTTGAAAGCCAGAAGAGTTAAGTTTTATAGAAAACATTATTCTTGTAAATTAATTAATGTATTCCAAAAATATTATTAATACTTAATATTCCAAGTAATCTACTAGGAGCTGGCAATTTAAATATGTAAGTAGGATTATTTTTCTATGTTCAAGTTGTCAAATCTAATAGAAAAATTATATATTTTTAATTACATGTAATGTACATAAATATAAGTATTAATATGAGTAAGCTCTGCAATAAGATTAGAGCACTAAGAATCATGGAAATGGAAAAGTCAGAAACATATTGGAAGATGAGCATACAGGTGTGATGAACACAGTGAAAATTTAAGAAGATTTCAAAATAGAGGAAAAAATAAAGTAAAATAAAATAAAAAGGAAGAGAATATTTGAGCTTAGCTTTGGGTTCACAGGCTATTTAAGATAGAACAGGGCACTGAAGTAGGCATAGTAGGTGATTTTGCACTTCACATTAAGAACCGATCAGAATGTGAGGAAACAATGAAATCAGTGTCTGTTTTTGTTTCTAATAGCATATACATTTTCCCTAAAATTTTGTGAAAAAAAATCAAAGAAATAAAATCATGATAATGATATAATTATACTTTAGAAAGAATATTTGTGGAAAGAATAATGCTTTAGAAATAATATTATTGTGCAGCCATAAAAAAAGGATGAGTTCATGTCCTTTGCAGGGTCATGGATGAAGCTAGAAACCATCACTCTCAGCAAACTAACACAGGGACAGAAAACCAAACACCAAATATTCTTACTCCTAAGTGAGAGTTGAACAGTGAGAACACATGGACACAAGGAGGAGATATCACACACCAAGGCCTGTCGGAGGCTGGCGGGGCAAGGGGAAGGAGAGCATTAGGACAAATACCTACTGCACACGGGGCTTAAAACCTAGATGACAGGTTGACATGTGCAGCAAACCACCACGGCACATGTATACCTATGTAACAAACCTGCACATTCTGCAGATGTATCCCAGAACTCAACGTAAAATTAAAAAAAAAATAAATTAAAAAAGAAAAAAAAGAAATAATATCATTGAGAATAATAATAATAGTAATGCTTTAGAAAGAATAATCTGTGGCAACAGGAGATAGTGGGATATTTTTGCAAAGGCATTAGCTGTGGGAATGGAGATGAGAGTAAATGTTTGAGCAGTTTTTAGATAAAATGTACAAGATTTGATGAATGAATGTTGAGTGAATGTGAAGACAGAGATTAATTATGAGTTTATCTTGATGCTGAGTAATGATGGAGACAAAAAGGTATATTGTGGTTTGGGAAATGATTATGTTGCATTTCTGATGGACATATAGATGTAGATTCTCATAATTGTTCACTAAGTGGTTTTCTGGTACTTATGACAGTTGTTTATACTGAAGATATGAATTTAGGAAATAATTTATGATAGTCAAAAGAACCCAAAAAGAACAAGAATAATAAAAAA
Source organism: Homo sapiens (assembly GCF_000001405.40). Taxonomy (NCBI): domain Eukaryota; kingdom Metazoa; phylum Chordata; class Mammalia; order Primates; family Hominidae; genus Homo; species Homo sapiens. The sequence goes on from NC_000005.10 coordinate 20,587,125, forward strand.
AAAAATCAAAAGGACCAAAAGCAGAAACGCAGAAGACACTGACATTTTAAAGCTGATCCACAAAGATAAGACAATGAATGAGACTAACAGAATGAGAAATCCAGAAGACAGAACCCTACAAAGCTACAGTGGAAAATGTATCAGGCATTCGCTGGTGCTTTAAAGGGAGAAGTTTTATGTTTTCTATTGTGGCCCATTAGGATCAATTATAATAATAGTGACAATCAGTGAATAAAAAGACACAAGTGAATCAACTACATGCTCTTCTTCCTTTCTCAACAACTGGTTATTTTCTCCCATGTATTTATTACTCTTTGATACTTTTGTTTTGAGTAACTCCATATGCAAATCTCAATAAAGACACAATGGGGAATAAAGGTGAACTGAACAATATCCTAGAGTTGAAAGAACAAACACTACAACGTGAAGTTCAGATAAGCATTTCTTACATGAGATTGACAGAATTCTGTATAAATTGATAAACTATTTAAGCAATTAGAATGTTAAAAGGATTCACAGTCTGTATTACTTATTGATTCCAATAACTTTTTAATAATTAATATACAAGTAAAGAGAAATATGAATTAAAACCCTTGAATTTTAGTTGTTGACAGTTCATGTTAATAGTCTTCATCATCAGAATACTGACTAGCCTTTGTCTTATTAAATAATATGCAAATTAAAGATACATTTAAGTGGAATTTATTGCAGGTGTTTATAATGTGTTTAAATACAAACATCAAAACATTATCAGATACAACTTTTATTTTTGAAAACAGTATCTCTCACTTTTGAAATTAACTGGGGAATATTATGATTTGTGCATATCAAGCCTTAATTTTATAAAGAAAGATTTGCTTCACTTGATGCTTTATTGGAGCGTGTCTACAGGATGGAAGAGCAAGTTAATAAGTATATGTATTCCTTTGGCAATGACCAATCATCATTTTCACCTTCATATTTATACCTCCATTTTTTCAAACTCTAGTACTATATAGTACCTGTGCTACTCTTATTATGTTGCATGTTACCTATTATTATAAGTTTATTTGTCCTCACATGTATTTTAGTTCTTTGGAGAGACTATTAAAATGTTTGAGCAAGAATTATATTTTTATAATTTATAAACACTTTTTAAAATCTTCTGTAATGAGCATTGTTATTATAACATTATTTATTTATTTATTTGTGTTTTTTTTTTTGAGACAGAGTCTTGCTGTGTTGCCCAGGCTGGAGTGCAATGGCTCAGTCTTGGCTCACTGCAACCTCCACCTCGCGGGTTCAAGTGATTCTCCCTGCCTCAGCCTCCTGAGTAGCTGGGATTACAGGCACCCGCTACCACACCTGGCTAATTTTTGTATTTTTAATAGAGACAGGGTTTCACCATTTTGGGCAGACTGGTCTGGAACTCCTGACCGCAGGTGATCCACCCACCTTGCCCTCCCAAAGTGCTGGGATTACAGGCGTGAGCCACCGCCCCCAGCCTACATAATTTATTTTTAAGTTATTGCTATCAGTTCACTTTTACTTTTGAGGCTTTATGTCTTTATTGGGGAGATATCAATATTTTAAGAGGTGGATACAGAATTATTTCCAAGAGGGCTGTCCAGTTTGGGAATATATTTTGTTTTAAACGTGAGGCTTCTGAGTGTATCTCGAATGAGGTAGGGTTATCTGAAGAGGTAGATAAACACTGATAAATAAGAAATGAGTGGGAATTTGTGGGTGTGTTGGTGGAGTAACATGTCTTCCACAACTAGCTGGGTTGAAGGAATTGGTGATGGCAGTAGTAGCTGAAGCAAAACATAATTTAATTACATAACCCCTCTCAAATATACCAAAATACTAAAAGAATATTTAAAATACATAAATGCAGGCATGCATAGTGATTGAGACATTGATTCAACTCTGGATCAACTCAGAGATGCCGAATTCTCAGGATATAGGTTGAAATGAAGAGCAGTTACCTAATGGAAACAGTATATCATCAAACTAATGTGTGTCCAAGAGAATTTAAACCCCCAGGAATTCACAAAATGTGGAGAAGCCATTGAACTTCTGTAAGTTAGAGTGTATGAGATTCAAGCCACATGTATTTAAAATTTCAAGTATAGGTGACAACAACTGACATATAGATTCCTGTCGAAGTCACACTCATGTGTTTTCAAACTACTTCTACATGTCTTCCTATATTACAGAATCTGGAAACCTAAACCATGCATTTCTCAAGCTTGCTTTCAGCTAAATTGTTTTGTGTTTTTGTGTCTGCCAATCAAATGTGTCTTTATGATGCTCAAAAGTGGAAATAAGACAGTAATTGACCACAGGAGACCCTATCTGCTAGCAAGCCTGTCAGTGAACATAACTGGTTTTGGGGGAAAGCAGAAGCAGGGTTTTTGGGTTTATTCCCTATTACTTTAGGTGACAGTGAGAGTAGAGAAGCATTTCCACTACAATAATGTCTGCATATAATTGTTCATAAATGTTTCTGATTTCTTTTGTTTGTGTATAGTTCCCAAATATGCAGAATCCCTGCCTAGTTCTCTCCTCTCCTGGTGAGTGTGTAACAAAATTAATATCCGTAGTAAATCCCCAGCTTCTAGAAATGAGTGGGTTCTACTATCTACAAGTAAGAATCCTGAAGGAATAAATATTAATGAAAATGTATAATGATAAACCACTGTATAATTGGCTTGTGGGATATTTTGAGATAACAAATAAATATTGTGCTCTGAATGCCAAGAATCCTGGTATAATTTTAAAATGTCATTTAATAAATGTACTACACACTCCCTGAGTTACTTCCCCCACTAAACAGAGACAAAGTCAAAGGCCGCCTGACATAAGTTAATAAGAAAAACACCCAAAGCCTCTGTAAAAGGCTACAGCATTTATAGCACAGTTTCTGAAATTTTTTACTACATCAAAATTAAAATGAAAAACAAAAGTGATTTTTTGGTTCCCAAGGCTTTCTTTCTATAGAAAGCAGCTGAAAAAGTAAAATAAATAGCATGAATACAAAAAGGTTTGTTAAATGTTTAAGTCTATGGAAACCCATTTTCCCAAAATATAATTTTTAAGCTTTGGTTATAGGAACAAGAAAAGTTGGCCATACAGCCCCTTTTACTAGGCCCATGTGAGCTCCTGGCCATTCTAGGTGTAAATGGAGACCTGGAATTGACCATGGAATCAGACAATGAGTCCTCTGCTTTGCAGAAGAATATGAGCCAAGTGTTCCTTCCATGTTATGGCCTGGCCTCTGCTCAGACCTTCTCTCTTCATAGCTGGAATCCAGTTATCAGATGGATGTGAATGAAGACTAATAGAAAAAGTACAAACAATTGAGAATTCTTATGGTGCTAAGAAACATAGTGCAGTCAGACGAGATTACTCCAGAGAGGAACATTATATAAATGCTGCAGCTAGAATGAGCTCTCAGTGCAGTGAAGCATCTGGTGTTGTTTTGCATATGTTTTGTTGTAAGTTCTGTGCACTACTCTTCTTCAAATGCATTTCTTCTTCTGCCGTCTGTATTTTCCTTGAATTACTTCAACACATACTTACCTTCCTGCTCTGACCTTTTTCTTTCCTGAAAAAAACAAAATATCTTGATGTTGAAAAGAATTGATTTCTAAGCATCCTACACAAGTAATAGAAATATCACAGGCTTCAGTGACACTGTTAACTATCCATGGGATGCTTATTGACTGTGTCACTCTATGAAAAGGAGAGTATCATGTTTTCTTACAGAAAAGTGGGTAATCTTTCCTCCAAAAGATGTATTTTACTCAGATGTTTTACTTTAGTTTGCTTTCTGGAGAAGATTACAGTAATTCTGCACTGAGAAGCTTTCTCTGCCACAGGAAATGTCCTGCACTGAATTAAATGATGATAACTTGCTATCATATCTAATCAACAGTTATGACGTTTTATAAAACTTAGAGCTGATGGCACCTTTACTATCACATTGATTTGATTAAGAATCTTTTTGGACACATTTTGAGAGTTCACTCTATAATGACATTTTCTCTCGAATTGTATGTATGGAGTGGAAAAACCACAAGCTTTCAAGATTACAAAAAAAAGAAAAAGTGAGACTATAAACTTAAAGTGGTATTTGGGACTTGGGATTGAAAAGAAAGAAGAAAAAAGAAAATTCAATAGTATCACTGGCAAGTATCAATTATATGAAAACAATTTCTATCAAACTAGAAAGAAAATGAGAAATCAATGTGGATTTAGGGATGAAATATTTTTGAATTACCAGAGAAAGGACCCAAGGAGAAAGATGTGCTTAGAAAATATGGAGGCAAGCCAGTCTCCTGTAGCCTCACACCTAGAAAACAGATCAAGAAAATCACATAAAATGTGGAATTGCTATGATTTATTCTATTATACATACACACATGCATGTGTATATAGATGTGCATGTGTGTATATATACATATATGTGTGTATATTTGTATATATACATATATACATATATGTGTGTATATTTGTATATATACATATATGTGTGTATATTTGTATATATACATATATGTGTGTATATTTGTATATATACATATATACATATGTATACACACATGTATGACTGCACATAGGTTTGTATATATACATATACACACGTACACGTGTGAACACACAGACACAAAATAGTGTGAATCAAGATGTTGTTAGTACTTTATTCAAAGGGGGAAATGAGAATACAATTACAAATAGAAATTATCACTGTTAACAGTTTTAAAGCTACAGAAGCTGCTGTTAAAACCTATGAATGGTAGAAGGAGAGAATGGTGGATTATATGCCAGCCTGAAACCAACACTTATATCATGAAGATAACTTTAGGGAGAAAAAGTGACTAGTTTGTGAACTGATCTATAGAAGAGGTAAAGACTTACTGTCACTTTACTTTGGATTTAAAGTTCACGAGCTAAAAATTTTGAATGATGATGGATGCTTTTTCTATCAGAGACTCTGGATAATTGTCAAACAATTACAACAACTTTAAAATTAAGAAAATAGAGAAATAAAATTGAGCTGAGTCTGAGGAATGAAATCAGCCAACCAACAAACCAACCAACAAATAGACAAAACAAACGGCATCAGTACATGGAGATGTGTTTGCCAGTTGGACGATGGTACACAGAAAGTTTTGTCTGCTTGAAGGTTAGGAATGCTTAGGGTTAAGGGTTATTTTTTAAATAAGAGGAGTTATGGAAATTGTAACATATATGAAATTGCCCGCCAAAAATTAGAGTCAGATTAGTCAAAAAAAAGTTACTTTTATAATTCTGATTAGAAAAGGGAGAGAAGACTTACAGTTGATGAAAAATACAGTAAATTAAAGACACTTTCACATTGCTCTCTCTATTCTTCAATTATTTTACTTCTAAGAAGTTGGAATAATTAATAACAACAGATACAAGGAGATACTTATGCTTGGGTTTGGAATATAGTAAGATTTTTATGCTCAATTTAGTTAAGACATTTATTAAGTGATTACAATATTAATATCAAAATATTTATTGAAAATAAACATGATTTAGATAATAAAAAAACAGTCCAGGATTGTGTCCAAAAACAGTTTCTGCCACCAGAATTCCAAAATCTGTGCCCCTGGTAAGGAACGGATCCTGGGTTACTTCATGTCTATTTCCAGTGTTATCTCTGGCACATTGTAACAATTTAGTCATCTTTGTAAGTGTGTAAGTTATTCTCATATGACAACTTTCCTACTTCAATTAAAATGGGATCAGTCCATAAAGTGCCCTTTTTATGATTACCTATCTATCAGCAGAAAGTTAGTTTCTGATTCCATCATTAGACATTCTCATATTGTGAGGATAATCTTGAATTTTATATAAAATTACTTTCAGGACAAGCTAAGAAAACTCCTGTGACCCAGTTCTATGCTCTTTCTATAAATGAGAAATTTTCTTAATTCATGAGTCTTTGCCCTATATTTCCTTGATACAAAGTGTTACAGAAAAGAGCAGGAGTCATCTGGATCCACTTGCCACACACCCACTGGGAGGAGCTGACACTGAGAACTCCAGGGCAAATCAAGGAGACTGAGCTGGTTCTGAGAGAGAGAGAGAGGCTTCTAAAATTATAAAAGAGAAATAGACATATATAAGGAGACTGATATTATAAGAAATTCAAAGCGAAATGAAATATTGTCATAGTTGTTCATTTATAACACAATAATAAATTAACTTTCAGAAACTAGGGAGAATAAAGATGAGCCTGTGCTCAAAAGCAGTGGGAAACATCGGTATCAATTAGGTGTCACCAGATAACAGAATGGGAAATGTCTGTACCAGTTAGGGTTCTCCAGAGAAACATTATATATATATATATATATATATATATATATATATACACACACACACACATATATATATATACACACATATATATATACACACATATATATATACACACACACACATACATACATACATATATATGTACACACACACAGTACATATACACTCAATTCTGTATTTCTCAATTTCTGTCATTCTACTTATTTTATATATAATATGCATTATATATATTATATATTACACACACACACACACACACACACACACACACACACACACAAAGGAATTGGCTCACATGATTGTGGTGGATTGCAAATCTGAATCCATAAGGCAGGCCAGTAGGCTGGAAACTTAGGAAGGGCTCAATGATGCTGCAGTTTTGAGGCAGGGGTTTTCCTCACCAGGAAATCGCATTTTCTGTGTGTGTGTGTGTGTGTGTGTGTGTGTGTGTGTGTGTGTGTGTGTGGTTTTTTGGATTTTTTTTTTTACTCTTAAGGCTTTTTAAATGATTTGATGAGGCCCAGCTGCATTACTTAGTGCAGTTTCTTTAATTAAAGTCAACTGATCAGTAACATGTGGATTAGTGTTTCCTTAACTATCTGAGTACTAAGGCCTAGTCACATGGACACCTACCACTAAGCATTACAATATTCAAGCAGCCTCATGTTTAAAGATTCCACCAGTACAGAATCTGTTAATGAATCCTCTAATATTTAATGGCACAATTCTATGTGTCCCAATTATTACATATTCCCATACATATGTGCTGTATTAGAAATTCTGTTGATAGAGGAAAATACGTTGAAATTTAAATTGTAGTCCAAGATCAGGGTGCATACGGGCCTTGCTCCTTTTTAGATGCCAGGAAGAATCCGTTCCAGGCCTCTCTTCTAGATTCTCATAGTTCCTTGGCTTGTGGCGGCATAACCCAGTCTTTACATGCTATTATCGCTATCTGTATGTTTGTGTCCAAATTTCCCCTTTTTATAAGGACATCAGTCATACTGAATTTATGGGCCCACCCTACACCTATATGACCTTTATCTTAACTAATTATGTTTGCAATGGCTCCATTATTTAAAAAGGTCATATTCTGAGGTACCAAGACATATAAAGTTTTGAGGGACATTTTAACCTGTGACACACGATTTGGATTCCATTTGTTAAAAAAAAAAACAAACAAACAGCATTTTCTTTACTTTTCTTTTAAATTTAATTTTATTTTAAGTTCCAGGATACCTGTGCGGAATGTGCAGGTTTGTTACATAGGTAAACGTGTGCATGGTGGTTTGCTGCACTTATCAATCCATCACCTAGGTATTAAGCTGAGAATGCATTAGTTATTTATCCTGATGCTCTCCCTACTCCCAACCCCCACCACAGGTCCCAGGGTGTGTTGTTCTCCTACCTGCGTCCATGTGTTTTCATTGTTCAGCTCCCACTTTAAGCGAGAATATGTGTTGTTTGTTTTTCTTTCTTGTAAAAAACAGTATTTTCTATCTCTTTATGAGCACCATGCTGTAAGTTTTCTACTTACCTCAATAAATGCAAGTTTTGTTCTTTGCTCTGCTCTCTGACTAGGACATTGACTAGGCTCCTATGCAATCTAGTATCCAGTAGGTTTTGATGAATGGGGAAACGTGCAAAGAAATTGGGAGTGGGTGGAAAGTGAGGGGAGAATGGAAATTGAGGCATGGGTATGTCTACTTCTGGCTGCCTTTTTGAGTTGTCATCTTGAGCTAGTTGCAACCATCAATCATATGTTACTTCCGCTCTTTGAAAATCTTATCGTGACTTTGGGTTCTCAGTAACCATTTACTCATCTCTTCCAGCAAAGTGCAGTCACATCATCCATGTTTAGGTACCTGCTCTATCTCTCTTTGTTTTCTTTTTGGGGTTCACTAAGGATAGTGGCAGAAATATTATAGAGTAAATATTAGGGACAATAGAGGCTTCCCCAGTTAAGTCTGTTTACCCTACCTCCATTAACTAACCTTTAAGTCAGATAGCCCTCTCGGGGAGAGGTCGACCAGGGATATTGTCCCCTAATGATATTTACCTTAGACCTCCGTACCTGAGCTTTATTCATTCCTAGAACTACTCTCTTAACCATGTTAATTATCCACAAATGTGTTGACTCAAAGCTTCTGTTGTTAATTGTATACCAAATAAATGCCTGGAGTGTGAGCTGCTCAGGACCAGCCACAGTGACAAACCTCTCTTGGTGTGCAGGCAGTCGGACACTCAGCTGGACTGGCAAAGCAGAATATCTGTGTGTCAGTGTACGTTTTATTCATCCATCATTTAGGTCGGGGTCTATGGGCAGCCCCCCGCAGCTAATGCTCTCAAGTGTGAGGAGCAATATCTCATTTTCTTACGTAGCATTTAACCCTTGTAGTTAGTACTTTTTGAAAACAAATGTTTCTAATGTAACCATGCTTTCTGTATACTGTTGGTACTATCACTGACACAAATGCTTTCCAAACATAAGACATACTATCTGTAGTGTATAAATACCTAAAAACTGTAACAAGGTAATGCACTGTCTAGTTTTTGTGAATATTCTGTCAATGAAAATTTATGTGAATTCGCTTTCCAAGCCACTCTTCATTTGGGGATATTTTTGAAGCTCTGTTGTTTGCTGTCCTCTTGCTGGAACAAATTTTGTTTCTATTGATGAATTTGTCTGCTTTTCATTATGGAATGTCTTCCTTGTCCTATACTGCATTTTATATAAATTGAAACATTCCAGCTGTCCTTTGACTAGCATTTGCACAGTGTATCTAATTTTATCTTTTAACTTGTGTCTTTAATATTTAAAATGTGTTGCCTGTAGAAAATCTACGGGTGGATCTTTCATTTTTTATCCAATCTGACAATGTCTCCCTTTAAGTGTAATATTATGGTTGAGTTTAAACCTGCCGTCTCACATTTTCTACTATTTGTGGTGTCTGTAATTTGGTCCTTTTACTCTTCTCCTGTCTTCTTTTGGTTAATTGAATATATTTTTTAGAGTTACGTTTTTCTGGATTATTGGCTTATTAGTTATGTCTTTTGTTCTATATTTCTAAAGGTACACATGTTGATAGAGTGGTATTGGTTCAAAGATAGACCTACAAGAGAATGGAGAGTCCATTCTGAAAAGGAAGAATAGTCCTTATCATAAAAATATTACTAGGCCAGCCAGGCGTGGTGGCTCATACCTGTAATCCTAGCACTTTGGGAAGCCGAGGCAGGCAGATCATGAGGTCAGGAGATTGAGACGATCCTGGCTAACACAGTGAAACCCCGTCTTTACTAAAAATACCACATGCCTGTAGTCCCAGCTACTCAGGAGGCTGAGGCAGGAGAATCGCTTGAACCCGGGAGGTGGAGGTTGCAGTGAGCCACGATCATGCCATTGCACTCCAGCTTAGGCGACAGAGCGAGACTCCATCTCAAAAATATATATATATTACTAGGCCATAAAAATCATTCAACTTGATGCCTATATTACACAGCGCAGACTATATCATAATAAATCATAAATATAAACATAAAGATAAAATAATAATGCTTCTATATCAAAACACATGTGAATATCTTCATGATTTGGGGATAGTCAAAGAATTACATAATCCTGCAACAAAAACACTATTTTTGAAGTGATAAATTAGACTTCCTTAAATTTAAGAACTTCTGTTCATCAAGTGATAATATTAAGAAAATGAAAATGAAAGCCAAGGCTGGTAACAATATTTCAAAATAAGTACAAAACAGATACTAATACATTCCACCAGAATGGCAGCAATTAATAAAAATATGACAATACCAAATGTTCATTGAAATATTGAATAAACAGAATTTCTCACAAACTCTTGAAAGTGTGACTTGGCACTGGCATTTTGGAAACTATTTTGGCAATATCTTCTAAAGTTAAGTACGCTTATGTCCTATGAAACAGGCAAAATAGATGAGTAAGTTTATGTCTATCAAAAGACATATTAAGAAAATATTGATAGCTACATTATGTTTAAGAGCCCAAACTGGCAACAAATCAGATTATTCATCAAGAGGTCAGTATGTTCTGATAAGTTCACGCAGTGGAATACAAGGTAGCAATGAAAATGACAAGCCAGAACTATTCACCACAACGTGAATAATTCAAATAGACATAATGTTGAAGAGATAACCAATAAACAAAAGATTACAGGTACAACTAATATATGCTATTAGCAATTAGAATAGTGGTTATATTTGGAGTGGTAGATATCTGAGAAGGTCATGAGGAAGCTGAGGTCCTTGAATTGATTTTTATCTCCTCCTGAGGGATGAATATACATGTGTACCCACAGGTAAAATTCCATCGAGGTGTAGACTCAAGGTTTGTGCCCTTTACTTTTTGTAACATGTCTTAATTAAAAATGTAACAAATTAAAAAAAAACATACCGTTTTGTAGAAGTTTCCTTAGAAGTGAAGTTAGTAAATAAATTGAAGAATGATTGTCCTCTGGTTTGTTCAAAGCTTTGCCACGTGTTATCTACCAAAATACTACCAAAATATCAGAGCTTCCAATACAAAACAGTTGGGCCAGTGTTTGGCTATTGCAGTCTTGATTTTTTCATTAAGTGCAGGAATCTAACTCCTTCATTATATATTATATTGCACTATATGCATTGCATTATTTTATATGTTTATTGTAAGTCTACTGTGAAGTGGAATGTATTTACATATTAAAATATGTGCCTTTATAATAATACATTCCTTTTATTTCTCTTTCATAATTTGAGCATCCTGTTGACTTTCTGAAATTGAGCATAGACATATATTTTGTAGTAAGATAGATAAGGGGCTGTTATGGTTTGGATCTGTGTCTTCACCAAATCACATGTCAAATTGTAATTCCCAAAGTTGGAGGTGGGCCTAATGGGAGGTAATTGAATTGTGGGAGCAAATTTCTCATGAGGGGTTTAGCATGATCCACTTGGTGCTGTCATTGTGATAGTGAGTGAGTTCTTATGATATCTGGTTGTTTAGAAGAGTGTAGCCACTCCCTGCTCCTCTCTCTCTTGCTCCTGCTCCTCTCTCTCTTGCTCCTGCTCCAGCCAGGTGAGATGCCTTGCTCCCCATTTGCCTTTTGGCATAATTGGAAGCTTCCTGAGGCCTCCCCAGAAGCAGAAGCTGCTATGCTTTGTGTACAGACTGCAGAATCATAAGCCAATTCAACCTCTTTTCTTTTTAAGTTACCCAGTCTCAGGTATTTATTTACGGCAATGCAAGAACAGACTAATCCAGGCCTTTCTAAATTTTTCTACAGAAACAAACAAAAAAAGGGGTGTTAGGTGGAATGAGGTTGAAAATCCAATGAATAGTCCCTGGACATAGCAGCGATCACAATAATAGTTACAGTGAACAAAGAATGATGGTCCAATGGGAACACAAATAAATAAATAAGCTATCAATCAATCAAAGATAATCACAGATCGTGATGAATGCTTTGGAATAAATTAACAAGATCAGCTAGTCAGAAGCTGAGAGAGGCCACTTTAGACATGGTCAGCGAAGGTTTCTCTTAACATGTAACATTTGGGATAAGATATAGTTTGAGTTTGAGTATGCCATTCAAAGGCCTGAGAGAAGAGCAAAGTCAATAGCCCGTAAGCAGAAAGAGTTTGGTATTTTCCGTTGTCGGCAAGACAGCATCACCACGACCAGCCATTCAGGGTCAGCAGTGGCTCATGTTTCTATGGCGTTTCTATGTTCAACCACTGCTTCAGCAGCTTCTCCTAGAGCTGAACAAACTTCCCTCTCAGGATTACTCTTGTGTCTGTCACCAGGGCTTCCCAATCACTTGCTCTTCCAATCATCTGCCCACATCCTGAGAGCTGCTTCCACTTTACCCACAGCTGACCCCATCAGTCCTCTAGGAAGTGCTCTTTGCTTCCATAAGGAATGTCTTCCATGTATTGGGTACCCTTATTGGCCCCTTCTGCCATTTCCTTAAAGATCGTACAAGGAATTAATTCCCATCTGATTGTGAGCTGTCATGTTATGAAAATCACTGTTTTGAAAAAAAGCATAATGTGTAGCAGAACTAGAAATGAACTTCACATCATCACTATGGCATGTGTTCAGGGACAGGCTTCACTGAGGAAATAAACCCAAGTTCAAGAGCAGCAAATCAAGAGAAATCATGGTTTCCTCATCCTCCCTTTATCCTACTGAGAGGCTGATGGAGGCCAGAGAGCTCTGTTCTGAAGGGTGACTCTCCCCCTTTTCACCCTTTTTTTTTTTAAATCACTGAAGGAACATTTTAATGCAGGAACAAATAAACTGCTTCTAGGCAAGATGATCTAGGTTTAAGTCCAATTATTTACATAAATTGCTTATGAATTCCTTCTATCTAGAGCCCTGGGGCCAATGGGAGGTCACAAGCCTTTCTGCCAGGGGAAAACACCCACGGATCCCTGGGAATCTGAGTTTGGGTGCAGCCCTTCCTGCAGAGGAGAAAAGCCTCGTCCCCCCTCCCCACGCTCACCCCCTCTATATTCTCATCTTGTTTGTCTTTTAACATCACAGAAAGAACTCTGCAGATCAACTGTGAATAATCTTGTTGCATCACTAAGAGGATTACAAATATAGAGAAAGTCCCATTGAAGTTTACTAAAACTGGTTAACAAATCTTATCTTATATACAATTTTTTTCCCAGAACAACACATATATTATAATGCTATGTACGCAATTTCTGAAACACAGAAATCTTTAATAAACAAATTACATTTTAAAAACACTGGACATGTAGAAATTGTACTGACTTCAATATAATGCTTATCTCTGAGAGAGAACTAGTAAAGTGGTATGAACAGAACTTTACTCTCTCTATGGTTCATTGCTAAAAATAAAGAAATAAAGTTTAACTAAAATATTTTTTAACATTTGTTTAACTATGGTGGAGGGTGTCTTTTATATCATTCTATAAACACATATTTTAGTATGTTGGGATATTTCTATTTAATAAGAAAATCCAAATAATGTAAGTCCAAGAGGTCTTGAATGACATCCAAAACTTCAAATATATGTTAATCACATATGAGCCAGTTTTATTAATTTTCAGTGACTTCCTCAGATGAATTAAATATATCAGAAAATGCTTGCAAAATATGCAATCCACAATTTTAAGCCATTTAATCTTTGGTGAGCATTTATTCCCAAGCAACCGTAATGTCCATTTCAGTGTTTCTCTGCTTCACCTCAGTATGTGATGAAATTCTTGCCACACAATTAAAAAAATGCAAGGATTCCAGGGGAAAGTCCTTAGGAATATAGGGGAATGTTTGGGTGAGGGAGGAATTAAATAGGAATATAGACTTATTCTCTAATTGAAATGTAATTTGCCAAAGATAAGAAAGAAATTTGTTCTGACAAAAAAGCATGTGTGGTATTTGAAAGATTAATTTTTAGTTGAATATATGACTTTGAAACACGTATTCCCATATATTGCTTTTGTCAGGTAAAAATTTATGCCCATGGATGTAATTCACAGATTCGCTTTCATTAAAAAAAAAAAAAAAAAAAAATTAAAAGTCAATTTTTTAGCAATGTCAAAGTCTTGGCGTTGAAAAGTCTTAAATATTATGCAATATATATCATTACATCAAACTTCATTAGATTGAACTGCATTATAATGCTACCCATAGCATTGTATAGTTAATTTGTTTATATATAGTAAATTTGTTTATTCGATAATTAAAATAGCACACATTTTTGAGTGCCTACTGTTTCCTAAGCACCAATATAGGGACTGGTGATAACGCAATGACAAAACAAATAAACAAACAAAAACCCTGTCCTCGTGGAACTTACCATCCATTGGGAAGAAATACAATTGAATAGGATTAAGATGGTGAACTGGAGGCTGAACTAGCTTGCACCTCCCACTCAGATGGACAGACCAGCGTGTGGAGACTCACAGTGTGAACTTTTGCTCCAAGAATTACCACAGGAACATCCCAGGAAAGCTGAGAGAATCCAGACCCTTTCAAGGAGCTAGAGCACCGCTGAGGGTCCCCGAGATGCCAAAAAACGTGAGTTGGCTTGCGTTCTCAATGGGGAGGCTCAGGGTCAGGGGCAAATTCTCAGCCCCACTCACCAGCTGCCTGGTAATAGACTCAGTGCTGTTGTAGGGGCATGGTGGAAGTGAGACTGGCCTTTTAAACTGTAGAGTCCATGGGAGTAGGGTGAGCCCTGTGACTGCCGGCTTTCCCCTGCTTCCCTGATTACACGTATGACTCAGCAGAGACAGCCATAATCCTCCAGGGAATTCCACTCCACTGGACTGAGAACCACACTGCTATTCCCCACAGCAGCCAAAGCAAGCCACAGCAAGCCACGCCCAAGGAGAGGCTAAGCTCCAACAAGCTTATCCCTGCCTCCACCTGGTGGTCTTTCTCTAACTGACCTGGTAGCTGAAAACAAAGGTTATAAGCTCTTGGGAGCTCTATGGCCCTGCCCACTCCCTGAGAAACCTGGATACTTAACAAGATGTCCCTAGGGCAAGTTTGCATCCTTCCTATAGAACCACAGCTGATGTGCTCTGGAAAACGCCACCTCCTGGCTGAAGGCCAACTAACACAAAACCAGTACACTATGCAAAAACACAACCAAGGACTCTTACAGAGTTTATTTCATTCTCTTACTACCTCCACCAGAGCAGGTACTGGTATACATAGCTGCAACAGCTGAAGATGGATCACATCAGAGGACTCTTTGCAGACACTCCCCAATACCAGCCCAGAGACCCGTAGCTTTTCTGGGTGGCTAGACCCAGGTGAGCAAAAACAATCACTACACTTCAGCTCTCAGGAAGCCCTATTCCCAGAGGAAGAAGGAGGAAACCACATCAAGGGAGCATCCCTGGGACAAAAGAATCTGAACAGCAGTGCTTGAATCCCAGATCTTCCCTCTGACATAATGTATCCAAATGAGAAGGAACCAGAAAAACAATTCTGGTAATATTACAAAACAAGCATCTTTAATACCCCCCATAGAACATACCAGCTCACCAGCAATGGATTCAAACCAAGAAGAAATCTCTGAATTGCCAGAAAAAGAATTCAGAAGGTCAATTATTAAGCTAATCTAGGAGACACAGGAGAAAAGTGAAGTCCAACTTAAAAAAATCAAAAACATGATACAAAATATGAAAGGAAAATTCTTCAGTGAAATAGATAGCATAAATAAAAAACAATCACAACTTCCGAAAATGAAGGACACACTTAGGGAAATGCAAAATGCACTGGAAAGTCTCAGAAATAGAATAAAACAAGCAGAAGAAAGAATTTCTGACTATGAAGAGAAGGCTTTCAAATTAACCCAGTCCATCAAAGACAAAGAAAAAAGAATTTTAAAACTGAATGAATCCTCCAAGATGTTTGGGAATATGTTCAATGTCTAAACCTAAGAATAATTGGTATTTCCAAGGAAGAAGATAAATCTAAAAGTTTGGAAAATATATTTGAGAGATTAATCAAGGAAAACTTTTTCAGCCTTACTAGAGATCTACACATAAAAATACAAGAAGCTGAAAGAACACCTGGGAAATTCATGGCAAAAATATCATCATCTGGACACAAATTCATCAGGTCATCTAAAGTCAAGACAAAGGAAAGAATCTTAAGAACTGTGAGACAAAAGCATCAGGTAACCTATAAAGGAAGCCCTATCAGATTAACAACATTCTTCTCAACAGAAACCCTTCAAGCTACAAGACATTGGGGTCCTCTTTTTAGCCTCCTTAAACAAAACAATTATCAGCCAAGAATTTTGTATCCAACAAAACTAAGCTTCATAAATGAAGGAAAGATACAGCCTTTCCCAGACAAACAAATGCTGAGAGAATTCATCACTACCAAGCCAGCACTGCAAGAACTGCTAAAAGGAGCTCTAAATCTTGAAACAAATTTTCAAAATACACCAAAATTAGAACCCCCTTAAAGCACAAGTCTCACAGGACCTATAAAACAATAACACAACGAAAAAAAAAACGTATTCAGGTAACAAATAGCACAATAAATAGACTAGTATCTCACATCTCAATACTAACACTGAATGTAACTGTCCTGAATGCTCCACTTAAAAGATGCAGAATGGCAAAATGGATAAGAATTCACCTACCAAGTTTCTGCTGTGTTTAGGCATCTGCACTCCAGCCTGGGCCACAGAGCGAGACTCCATCTCAAAAATAAAATAAAATAAAAGAGATAACAGGCAAAACTGGATATGGTTTATAGAATAAACTAAAAGTAAAGAGATTCGTTAAAATTCTGAAGTTCTTTCATTACTAAACCACCAAAATGTTGGCAGCCAGACTTATACAGGTAGAAGTCATGAAGTTCACTTTCTGGGGAAGCTAAACAACCTATGTAGAAGAAAGGACTTCCAATGATGCCCTGGCCCTTATCCCTAGAACCTGTAAATAAGGAACTCTGCAGATGACGTTAAGGTTATGAACCTTAAAATGGGAGATTATTTTGGATCATATCAATGGACCCAATCAAATCATATGAGTCCTTAAAAGCAGAGAATGTTCTCTGGCAGGACCAAAAGAGGTAACACATAAAATAAAATCAGAATATTTATAAAAATTTAATTTAAATTGAACCATGTTATTGGAAGTGATCCAATGAAAGCCAGGAAACAGAAGTATGATCTTACAGTGAGGCAGGCTATGCAACAAGTTTGATCGACATACAGTGCTTTAAATCAATTATTTTATGTTGCTCTCTTGATTGTTAATGGGAAGCCAAAAAAATGAACCATTTGAATGAATATTCTAAATAAAAGTCAGATAATAAAACTAGCAAATCTAAAATGAACAACTCACAGGTACCAGAGAAGTTTTAAACAGAACAGGGAAAGAACTACAAAAAAAGTCTCTACAATTTTATGACATGGAATTTCATCTCACAAATAAACTGAAGAAAATAAAAATATTCATATAAAAATAAAAGTTCTTGGAAATTGAAAAGATTTTACTACATATTAACAAATGAATAAATTATATTTTAAAATAAACAAAACAGTAACTAGGAGAAACTAAGAAAAATACCCCCCAAGATCAAAAATGGAGAGGGAGAAATTATCATAGAAATCCATATAAGCATGTTTCAGAAATGAAGAAATGATTTTTTAGATTGAAAAGCCTCACCGCAAGCATTACACAATCAGTGACAATGCACTCACACAGCCTCCTGAAATGTTACAGGTGTTTTAAAGAGGAGACGTTCCACAAATCTTCCATGTTTGAAAGATGAAGACAGGATCCTAGCCGTAACCAAAATTCTAAGATGGCTCCCATGGTCTCCAATTCCTGGTGCCACATTCATGATTAAATTACATTATGTGGGAAAGAGATGAGTGTCACTCCTTTGATTAGGTTATGTTATAACAGCAATGTTAAAGGATTTTCCAGATGTAACTCATACCCTAAATCAATCCATTTTCAGTTAATCAAAAGGGAGATTATCAGAAGTTGCCTGTCTTTATCAGTTGGAATCACCCGCAAGTTTGGAGGGCCTTCCCTGAATTCACACCCTTTACTGCTGGCCTAGAACAGCAAGCTGCCATGAGTCCTACAGCCACGAGGAAATGGAGTCTTCCAACAGCCTGCGTGTGTTTGCAGCTGCATTCTGCTTCACATCTCCCAGTGAGAATGCAGCCAAATTGGCTCCTTGATTACATCCCTGGGAGATCCTAAGTAAAGAACCAGATGGACTATGCTTGGGCTTCTGACCCTGGGAAACTGAAGTAGTAAATTTACTTTTTTTTTTTTTTTTTTGAGAAGGAGTCTCGCTCTGTCACCCAGGCTGCAGTGCAGTGACGTGATCTCGGCTAAGTGCAAGCTCTGCCTCCAGGGTTCGCGCCATTCTCCTGCCTCAGCCTCCTGAGTAGCTGGGACTACAGGCGCCCGCCACCATGCCCAGCTAATTTTTGTATTTTTAGTAGACACGGGGTTTCACCGTGTTAGCCAGGATGGTCTCGATCTCCTGATCTCGTGATCCACCCACCTCAGCCCCCCAAAGTGCTGGGATTATAGGTATGAGCCACTGCGCCCAGCCATAAATGTACTTTGTTTTAAGTCAAGTTAAAAATTTGACTTAAAAACTAATACAATCATGAATCAGAATAGCACTGGGTATGTCAACATAAACGTGCAGCTACAAGAAAATGAAAAAAAATCATATTGATGTTAATATTTATGTAAGCATTTCAGTATTTTATAGGGAGCTACTGGAGCTGTATTGAGGGATGGAAACTGTAGTGTATTTTTAAACAGAGCAACTTTTTTGGCTAAACTACCTAGAGGTGTTTGACTTAGACCATAGATAATTTTTTACCCTGTCATCTAAATATTTAATAGAATGAGGCTACAGAAATGAAGTTGATAAATCACTTGCAGCTGTGATGATAGGACCACCTGATCTGTGGGAGACAGACAGCATGAAGATGATTTGGATAATAATACTGGACTCACTGTGAGAGAGAAATGTTTAAGAATAAATGTTGCAACCCAAAATCAGATCTGAGAGGTTATTGATGCTAACTGAACCCACCTAAGAAAGGTCATGCATGTCTATGAAAATGAGTACCGTGGAAAATTTTAATGCGTATTCTCTACTGCCTCTCCTCTCTTTTCATGAATCTTGGAGGATTATCCCTTCCTGCTCCCACTGCCAACAGTTAAGGATTGCTTAATTCTCGCAAATGGATTGTGAGAACAAGTGACTTATGTCATATCTGAGCTGAAGCATTTAATGAACACTGTGAGATCCTCCTGCTCAAACTTCCTGTTGTGTTATAACTGAGGAAGCCATGTGCTCCAAAATGTGTAGCTGCAGAATAATGGAACTTCATCAACCTGGAAAACTGTCATCACATACATTACTTGGGATCTGGAATGTTGCTGTGAGCTTCAGGAATTTTAACAAGAAAGGAATAAGCTTTTGCTGTGTTAAAGCATTGGAATCTTGGGATTCTTTTTACTGCAATAATTCTAACTTATGTTTACAATATAATGAGAAATGCTGGGAGGTTATAGAGAGTTTAGAGCGTTCTTCACGAGATGGGAGTAGGATGGCTTTAAAAGTGGAATTGGTATGGACCTGATACAGTAAAGTAAGTGGGGCAAGGCTGTGAGCTAAGGACAGCAGAAGGATGGTGAATTCAGGTCCAGAATAACATCTGCAGTGCTCAACAAGTACTTCATTCCATTATGCTAGGTTGTCATTTATTCATTACATACAAATAATAAAAGAATGGACTGAATAGAGACTGTGGTGGGCTGAATAATGGTCTCCCCAAATCGCCCATAATCCTAATCTCCTAGAATTTGTGAATGTTAGGTTACTTTAGGGGAATAAGATTACAGATCATATTAGGTTGCTAATCAGCTGACTTCAAAATAGGTTTATCCTGGATTATCTCAGTGGGACCAGTGCCATCACAGGATCCTTAAAAGTGAAAGAGGGAGGCAGGAGAGAAGGTAGGAGTAATGTGATGTGGGCAGGACTCCTCCTGACACTCACTGTTGGCTTTCAAAGATGGAGGAAGGAGAGCATGAGCCAAGGATTGCAGGTGGGTTCAAAAAGATGGAAAAGACAGGGAAATGGATGCTCTTTGGGAGCTGCTAGAGGAAATGGCAGCCAGGCCAACATGTTGACTTTAGGCCAGTAATATCCATGTTGGACTCTTAACCAAGACAACTGTAAAATAATATGTATATTTTTTAAACCATTACATTTGTGATGTTTGTTGCAGCAACAATGGGAAAAAATGCAAGCAGTTATACAGGCTGAGAGAAAGAACAGTGGAAGCACCACCACATGTCACTAGACAGATACCTCTAGGACTTAGGGGTACCCCCACCTCCACGCTAACTGACAGCCAGCAAGAAAACAGACACCTCAGTCTTAGAACCACAAATAAATTCAAGTGGACACAAACTTGAATAGGCTTGGAAGCACATTCCTCCTCAGGGCCTCCAGAAAGGTATGAAGCACAGCCAATAGTTTGGTTTAGTCTTGAACCTGAAGGAGAGGGCCAGCTGAGCACACTGGGACTTCTGACCTACCAAACTGTGAAATAATATATTATTATTTTTTTGTCACTGTTTGTAGTAAATTGTTATGGCAACAATAAGAAAAATCAAGACAACATGCACAGATGGAATTATTTTATACTTCACTATTCCTCTCCTACCCTCTATAGTCAAAAGTGTATGTCATTTAAACTAATATTCAGTATTTACATGATTATGCCAATGGAAATACTTCATGAAAGGCCAAATATATAAAAAATATTTCTTATACATATTTTTCTTGAGCTAATAATTGTCTTGTTTATTCTTTGTACACTTTACCATGCAAATATCACTTTCTTTCTTATGCTATCATTACTCTATAGTATTGAGTATTTTATTCCCCATTGTCCCTTCACTTTGTGTCTTCTACTGTCTTGTCCCAAGCTAAACTGTTTTGTAGGACATTTGTACACGTATATTTTGGGGACTTGTGCTGGATAGGGGTCACTATATTTGGATAGTATGTCCTCCTTCTTAGTTAAGTTTTCCTTTTGCTGGAGGATATCTTCTTAAGAAAGTTCTTGGAAATAATTTATTTCAGTCATTTTTTCACCAAATTATCTATAGCTTTTCACCTTTGATTATTTTGCTGCAAACAGAATTCTATCTTAAACAGCATTTTCTGTGAAAGTTGTGACAATTCTGTTCAATTTTCTGTCATTCAGCAATGTTGTTGAAAAGTTGAATTTCAATTTTATGCTCATGCCTCTTGTTTAAATTGCTTCTCCCTCCTCCCCGCCCCACACACTATTAGGATTCTCTTTAGTAGACTGAAACATGAAAATGAGTCTGGATGTAGATATTTTAAAAAATCAAGTGTCATACCCTTTCTGTTTTATGGATGGAATTGATTTTCATGTTTCTGAAAACATGGTGATATTGTTATTTTGGTTTGTGTAGATTTCTCCTGCTGTTTTCATTATCTCTAATTCCTTTTGCTTGTGTTTATAGTTTTTATTTAATGTTTTTTTCTTTTTCATGCTGAGTACTTTCTGTTTCCTTGTGTAACCTGCTCCTAGTAGTCTATTTATATTTTAAATTCTTTATGAAAGATCTTTCTCCCATTTTCTCTACAACCAACAACTTCCCTCTTACTTTTCTCTAGCTGCAGGGAGCTACTTGTTTCTTTTCAAACATAGTAAGCATGCTAATCCTTGCATCCTTTGAACTGCCTATTTATTCTGTCTGGAATTCTCTTTCCTGAGATACCCACAGGGCTAATTCCCTCACCTCATTAAAATGAGACCTCCTTTGACCATTCTAATAATAACTTCTTCCTGTCCCCAGAACTCTTGAACCTTCTTAAGCAGTTCCACTTTTTCTCTTTGTTCATAGCACTTGCTACTAGGTAATTTTTGCATCTGTATGTCTAATGTTTACTGTTGGTCATCCCATAACTAGGATATAAATACCTTAAGAGATGTGATCTTTCTCCATTACTCACTTATCCCAATCACTAAGAGCAGTCACTGGACCATGATATATGCACAATAGGTATTCATTTAACTAATGAATTACTAAATGCATGAGTTAGATGTGAACCACTAACAATACTTAATGGAATATCCATATATATAGGTGAGGCTTGTACCTTGATGACTTTATGCAGTGCTGACTGTGCAAGGGGAGACTCAAATGTCAATAGATGGAAACTTCTCCCCATGGTCTTTTAGGTTTTTCAGACAAGGCTCCTCAGACTTCCCATTAGGCCTGAGAAAAGAGAAGTAATCTCATGACAAAAGCTGGGGATGCAATGTGGCTATGTGTAAATGTCCAGTTGGTTGCTTAATATCAATCAGCCTCTTCCTGGTAACTGTTCAGCTTGCCAGTCCTTATTTTAGAGGTCTTTGTCCAGAAGGGGATCCCTGGTGTTCAGGATACAGATCCTCCATTGACATTCTCAACATTTCACTCCTGCACGTGACCCTACCTGGCTCTTGAGCATCAACCTCTCGAGATGCAGGTGACAATCACCGCCTTTATTTTCTGGTTTGATCTGGGCACACACATTAGTTAACACTCACCTATTTGCCTTTTCACCTTTAGACCGCTCTCTTGTTTTTGTCTGCATGAATCTTTACTTTTACTCATATTTACTTTCATTGGTAAAGTATTAGTGGGAAGAAAAAATATACCTGTGAATTAAATTCACTTGTCTAATTTGAATCTGGCTATTACTATATTTTCAGTAATTATCTTTTTTATCTCTAAGTCATCTAGTGTATCTGAAAGCTATTTATTATCTTTTTTCTGATTTATGACATTTTAACTGTATGAAATTCCATAGTATCTTTTATTTACAAAGGATTACTTCCAACATCATCAAAACTCACATTAAATGACATATTTGATTATCCATGTTTTTAAACTTAGTATAATGCTTTGAAGAAATACTAATAAAAATATTAAAAACAGATTTTCATTAAAAGTCACCTGAAATTAAATGTGCCTGGTTTAAAAAATTAGCAAACACAGAAAACTTTTAGATCCAATTATATCTTTTAAATAAAATTAAAAAGTAACTGAGAAGTGACAGACTTATTTTTTCTGTTGTACTAATAGATATTCTTGATTTTCACTAGATAAAAACTGAAATTGGGATATAGATTGTTTTCAAAGAAGGTATAGAATCAAACAAAACTACGACTATGAATATAGTCTAATGATGATGTTTAAAATATAAATAAATTTGCTTGAGGAAGTTAGGAAAAGTTGTTATTTAGAGGTACTAGATGGACTAATTATTATTTTTTAAATGATCTCCCCAAAGGACACAAAGTTTCAAAATGACTTTGACAAGTTTTTGTAATGACATGAAATAAGTAAGATGTTATTCCTTTTCAGTATGCTATTAATTCCTCTGAAGCTGTTGGTTCGAAGGCTTACAGAAAGAATGGTGTAGCAGCATCAGACGATAATTATATCACTCTTAATTTTCAATAATTTGATATACCAAAATGAGAGGCCTCCATTATTGAGTGTTCTTTAGGTTTTCTTTTAAAAAGAAAAATATCACAAAGCTTGGTTTGTTTATGATGATAATCCTTCACTTTTAACAACAATGGTTTTAATTTTAGGAACAGTAATTTTGGTAGAATCTAACAAAACAGAAAATCACAAGAATTAAATATGTTAGAGGTAGAACCTATTTATTTTAACTGCATGAATGTATCCACTTCAGTTTCCGGCTGTGACTGTATCGACGCCAACAGCACTCTGCTTCAGTTCCTCTTGACTTGCTGCAATGATTTATGTGTATGTTAACACTAATTCATG